>NC_000012.12:113520734-113672249 GCF_000001405.40 Homo sapiens | reverse complement strand
ATGATGGGTGTGACTTCCTTTATATTTCTACTGAGTGTCCCTGCTTTAGACACTGGGTCTTGTACACAGTTGGCGCTTGGAGAGCCATGGAATCCAATTGGTTAGGAGTGGAGCAAATTAATGGAATTTGTTCCAGCTTTTAAGTGCCAGCTAGGCCCAGGGGTTAGCGAAATGCCAATGCGATGAGGCCTGGATCTCTTCAGTGTAGACCCATAGGCTTGTGCAGCCCAGGGCTTGGAGCGCCTACTGCCTGCCAGGTTCCGCTCTGAGCACGTTACTCAGGTGGCCTTGATTAGCCAAACAATGCATTGAGAGGTGGGGTCAGTCTTTTCCCCCGTAGCGGTGGAGATCAGGAAGGATTGGAGAGGTTGTGTTTATTGAGCACTTACTATGTGCAAGCTTTGTGCCACACTCACACTCAACACGAGTGTCCTCTCTTATCCTCACAACAACCACACCCTCAAGGCAGCTACAATTATGTCCCCAGTTGACAGATGAGGAACGTGAGGCTTGGCTAAGTGAAGAGACTTGCCCAAGGTTACTCTGCTGGTGGGATTTGTGCCTGGGAAGTCTAGTTCCGGCAGCAGTCAGGAAAGAAAGCCACGACCTGTCCCTAAGTCACGACAGAGCAGGTGGTCTGTTCCACCCCTATAAGCCCAGTGCTGTGTGGGCCGGGCTGGGCATGAGGACATAGAGGGAAATGAGACATACTCTCCTCATCCAGGCAAGCGCAATCCTTTTCCCAGGTTAGCACTCCCCCAGGTATGGACAAGTCCAGGAGGAAACGGGAAGGGCTTTCTGGAGGAAGGAGCATCCCAACAGGCCTTGAAGAATGAGGAGAAAATGCACGGGGAAACCCTGTAGGCGGAGGAAACAGGTGGACTAATGCAGGTCTGGGCTCGACTTGTCCTTTCCACTTCAGGATGTGGGTGCTCTGTTCCCCACCTGTTCAACAGAGCTGCTAAAATCTTCCCTGGCTCACCCAGAGGCATTTGTAAACTTCAACTGAGATGATAGCCAGGAAACAGTGTGAAAAGGGAAAGTGACTGGCAAATATTATTGTCACTGTTGTCCTCATCGGCACCGTGTCTCTGCCCTCAGTCCACACCTCCTCCAAGCTTGCTCCTACCCTTCTCCCTCCTGAAATTATAAAATCCACTTTCTTGTCCTGCCACACCCCAGCTCCTGAATATCATGATGATGACCTCATTGAGAGACTCTTTGGGTGAAGGAAGATAATCTAGCAGAAAACCGGACCACAGACCTAGGTTTGAGTGCTATGTGTGCTGTGTGGCCTTGAGCAGTCAGTTTACCTCTCTGAGCCTCAGTTGTCCCATCTGCAAAATGGATAATCACACTGCCTCTCTCCTAGGTGAGGCATTATGTAGAATGCCATGGGTCAAAGAGCATAATAGATGCTCAATAAATGTTCATTATTAAGTACCTGAGGTGGAGACAGCTAACTGCTTTCTCAATATCCATTCCCCTGCCTTCCTTACTAAAGAACCTGGGTTTTATTCTGGGCAGCTTTGGGCTCAGGTGAAAGAACACATTTCTCACCTATTTTTGCAACCAGGATGGTCAGTAAGGTGTCGGCCAAAGTCACTGAGTGTGGGGCTTGGGAAACTTTAAAGGGAACGACCCCAGCTGAAGGAAGGTCCTTTCCCCTTCCCTGCCCTTTCCCACCCTTCTACCTTCTTTGAGCTTTGAGTGAGGATGGGAGTTGGAAGCTGGATCTCCTACCTGGGGTGGAACCCCCTGGCCCAGACCCCCACCCACTTCCAGAGGCCCCAGGCCGGAGGCCAGAGCCACCGCTATTCGTGAGTTTGGGCAAGAATAGAAAGTACCAGCTCAGCCTAAGCTATTGGGGCATTTTCCACTGACAGCACCAAGAGCTTGCAGCCTATTACCATCATTATTATTATTATCACCATCATTGTCACCATCATTATTGGACAAAGCCAGCCTCCGTCCTTCCCCAGCCTGAGCCCCACCACCCTTCTCTCCCGCAACATCTTGGCTCCCGTCCCTCCATTCTCTCGCCCTCACTCCCTCTTTCTTCCTTTTATGTTCCCTGCCCCCCTGCCGCCGTCTCCTCTCCCCTTTCTCCTTCCTCTTTATTTTATCTCAACTTGCCACAAATCTGTTCCCCTACAAAGCAGCTGCCATCTTTGTTCTGGGCCATTATCTGTAGCAGCACGGCCCGAGCAGGGCCGCTGGGCAGACAATCACCGGGTAATAGAGTGTCTGCGAGCTATTGTGGAGTGTGTCCGAGCCGATCCATCACCCGCCGCCTGACACCGTGCGCAGGCGGCAGCCGAAAAGCCGGCCGGGCCACTCTCGGAATCTCCACTCTGCCCCTCCGTGTGCAGGACAGAGACCAGGGATGGGGGATCCCAGAATGCAGCCCGGGCTCATTCTGGCTCTTTCCGTGTGCTTAGGGTCCCCTGGTTCACAACTCATTTAATCTATGCCCCAACCCTATCAGGGAGGGAGGCTTATTTTACGCCATTGTACAGATGCAAAGCTGAGGTTCAGAGAGGGGAGGTCACTTGCCCAAGGTCACACAGCATTGTGCAGGCAGAACTGGGACTCGAGCAAAGGTTTTTCTGCCCTAAAGCCTGTGGTCTTAAAACACCGTGCAATGCTCTTCCCCAGAACCTGCTTTTGCATGGGAGTGAAGTGCTTTGCACGTTTAGGACGCAGGCTGGTAATCCAATATTTGCAGAACTCTGTTCTAGACATTGAGCAGGGAGAGTTATTTATTTATTTATTTATTTATTTATTTATTTATTTATTTATTGAGACAGAGTCTCACTCTGTCACCCAGGCTGGAGTGCAGTGGCGCAATCTCAGCTCACTGCAATCTCTGCCTCCCGGATTCAAGCAATTCTCCTGCCTCAGCCTCCCAAGTAGCAAGTACTACAGGAGCCTGCCACCACGCCAGGCTAATTTTTGTATCTTTGGTAGAGACAGGGTTTCACCATGTTGGTCAGGCTGGTCTTGAACTCCTGACCTCAGGTGATCTGCCCACCTCGACCTCCCAAAGTGCTGGGATTGCAGGCATGAGCCACGGCGCCCAGCCAGGGAGAGTTTTTATAAGAGATGTGCAGCAGCCATTCCCCTCTGCTCCACCCATTAGAGTTGGTGATCTAATGGGAAGTGTGGGAAGGGTAGAAAGAAATATTTATCACAATAGGCAAGAAAGTGTAGTGGATAAGGGAAGGGACTCTGCAGCCAATGCCGTTTCCTCATGGCTCTGCCACTCCAGCTGCGTGACCTTAGCCAAGTGGCTTCACCTATTTGTGCCTCAGTTTCCTCATCTGTGACAATAATAGGTCCTCCCTGGTTGGGAGGATTCAATGCATAACACAAGGGCCTGGCATTTAGAAACATCAATTAAATATTAGATATTTTTATTCATTCCAGTCCTACGCAGGGCAGATGTTTTATTTACATGATTTACATTATACCATTTACCCTCCACAACATACCCAGGTGAGGTAGGTAAAATTATTATTTCTATTTTACAGAGGCAGAAATTAAGATTCAGAACCTTGCCCAACGTCACCCCAGCTGGCAAAATAATGCATTCTCTCTTATGCATTCTTTAGGCATTGACTGAGCATGTAATGTGTGCTAAGTTTTGTCCTAAGTGGCGTAAGAACTACAAAGGTTTGCTTTGTAGCAGCAACCGGCTTTTTAGGAGCCCTTCTTTCTGCTAAGCATGTAAATGCATGGCCGAAGATAATCCCCTAGTAATTCTCAGAAGTTGGTGTCTTTATTCCCATTTTACAGATGAGAACTCCAAGACACCAAGACATTAAGCAATTGACTGAAAGTCACAGAGTTCGTACATGTGGCATCCAGGCTTGTATCTTGACAGTCTGACTCCAGAAACAGAGAGACAGAAATTGCCTTGCCTGAGAATGCCCTTGCTCACCCTGAATTTGCCATCTAGCAGGGGCAGGTCAGCTGTCGAGATCCCTAACTAGGGTATGGGGAAGAATTAGCACCATCCAAATAGAAAGGCCACCCCAACAGGCTCTGGCAGATCAGAGGAGAACTCCAGCACATGCTGCTGAGAGTATCAGGGAAGGCTTCCTGGAGGAGGAGGTGAAGGAGGGGCCCAATCCAGAAATGAGGTCTAAGTCGGGCAGGGGACTCTGCATCACCTCATTTGGCTGGATGCGACTTGGGAAAGAGAGACCCAAGACATTCTGGCCATCAATCTGAGCTCACAGCAGGGGTTCTATAGGAGGTGGTTCAGAAATCTTGAAATGCTCCCTAGGGATTTGTGGGTCATGTGGACATTTTTGTTGTGTGTGTTTTTGTTTTTTGTGGACATTTTTCAGTTGAACACCTACTGTGTGCCAGCCCCCCTACTACGTACACCTTGCCCTTATATTGCTCACATTCACATAGAATGACACATGCTTGATGGAAAAGCACAGGGAACTGCAGAGACTCCCTAAGAGGGGCCCCGACCCAGCTTGCAGAGCCGGGGAAGGCTTCCAGAAGGACCTAGCCTGGCAGCTGGGACTCAGAGGATGGGACACAGCAACTCAGAGAGAAAAGAGGGGAGATGGTGTTCCAGACAGAGGCACCAGTTTGTGCAAAGGCTGAGAAAGGGGAGAGGATGGAGCTGGGGATACCAGGTGGGGAGGGGAAGGAGATGGGGTCCCTGCTGCAGTAGGGGTTTGCAGATTGGCTTGACAACAGCCTTGTGCCTAGGAGAGAAAAGTTCCAGCTTTTCATGATCAAGGCAGCATAGGAATGCTCACATGGGATATTTGAGGTTGGGGGGATAGGGAGGGGCAGTTTTGTCAAGATCAAGGTTGTGATACCCACCATTCTTTGAGCACTTGCTGGGCCCAGAAACTGCTTCATGCTTCACATGTCTTATCAATCCCTCCCCATCAACCTTATGAGAGGCCCTATTATCATCCCCATTCCACAGATGAGGAAGCTGAGGCTCAGAGAGGTAAAGTCACGTGCCAAGCATCTGGCTTCAGTGTCCAAGCTCTCAGCCATTGCAAAAAACAGAGCCTCTCTCTGCCTTATAAGCTTCCCCAGGGGTCTGGGCAGAGTCTTCTCTCCCCAGACAAGGAGGAAGCTCCCCAAACCTTCAGGTGGCCTCACCCTGTCCCACCCTCTCAGCTGCACACATCAGCGAGGCTTCCTGCCTCACTTTGCTGACCAGCTCCTACTCACCCTCCAGGGCCCAAGTGGGAAGTGCTTGCCCCAGGAAGCTTTTCCAGTCAAATTGGCCTCCTATTCTGAGTCATTTCTCCCTATATTATGACATTCTGTGCAGGGGCCATTTCCCTGGGTTTCTTGATTTGTGGTATGGTGTTAGCTACCATTTATTAAGTACCTATTGGATTCCAGACTTTGTGACATAGCAGAAGTGGTACTAGTACTAGAAGTATGACAATAGTAACTATGACACTCACAGCCACAATAGCAATTGCGGCTGGCGATCTTGAAGCACCCGCTGGATGTGAGGTATTGTCATGGGAAAGACTTTGGTTGTCACTGTTCATTGAACACTCACTCTATACCAGATTCCGAGGTGACAGCAGCAACCACCACCCCGGCTTCCCCTACCCATGGAGTGTGCCCACTGCACCTGCCACTTGCCCTGGTTCATCACCCACTAGATCCTGATGGTAACTCCTTCAGGTGGGTCCCAGCCTTGACCCATTTCTCAGATCGGGCGAGTGGTGCTCAGACAGGTGCAGGGGTTTACCTTGAGAAGAGGCAGAGCTAGGAACTGCACTGCAGCCTCTGCCTCCAGGCTCCTGGAGTGCTCCCCAAGTGCTCCCCGAGAGCTCCCTGAACTGCGTTGACTGTGAGGAAATAGATGGAGGACAATTATGCAGGGTTTCATCTGCGGTGACAGTGACAGGCCAACCCCAAACACCTAGGAGGCCATCCTGAGCTCTCCCACACCCTCTTGTTCCGGCTTCCCTCTCCCTCCCCATCTGGGCCTCTCTGAACTTCCTGGAAGCTTTTTCCAGGGGTGTTTTGTCTGGGCTATTTATTTCTTTAGCCATCTTCCCTTTTCTCTCCCGATCCTCCTAAAGACCCCGTTGCTCTCTCTTCTCTCCTCTTGCCTGGGCACCCACCCCTCCCCAGTCCTGAGTTTGGTGTCGGAGGGGGCGACATGCAACCCTGCACAGAGATCCCCGAGAAGGCCGGCTGGGGGCACACAAAACCACCCCAGGCCAGGCTCACTGGGAGATCAGAGCTTTGCTTGAGGGTGATCCTGGGGGGTCGAGGGGAGCTCTAAAGTCTTAGGAGGTGGAAGGGGCTGGTGGAGGTGCAGAGAACCTTGGAGACAGCAGGGAGGCTTTGAGGACATCCTGAAGGCAGAGGGGCCGGCTGATGGAGAAGCCCACCCAGACCTGGGGGGAATGCCAGGATGGGGAGAGGTTGGGGGTCGCAGGGAAGATGTAGACCCCATCAAGGTCAGGGGAGAGAGGCCCAGAGATGCTGTCAGATGGTATTACTCAGAATTTGACTGGGGATGGAGTGAAGGGAGGGGCAGACTGTGGGAGTGTGAGGGAGGATGGCATGTACTGCGTGTGTGTGTGTGTGTGTGTGTAGCATGGAAATGGTGTGTGTGTGTGTGAATAGGATGGAGATGGAGTGTGTGTGTAGCTAGGATGGAGATGGTGTGTGTGTGTGGATAGGATGGAGATGTGTGTGTGTGTGTGGATACGATGGAGGAGATGGCATGTGTAGTCGTATATAGATAGGATGGAGATGGGTGGTGTGTGTGTATGGATAGAGTGGAGACGGTACGTGTGTAGTTGTATATAGATAGGAAGGAGATGGTGTGTGTGTGTGTGTGTAGTAGGACAGGGTAGACTTTATGAGTGTGTAAGAGAGTAGGATGGGGTGGACCCTGTGTATAGGGATGGGTGGACCCTGTGTGTGTATAGGGATGGGGCAAGTCCTGTTTATGTATAGGGGTTGAGGTAGGCCCTGTGTGTGTATAGGGGTGAGGTAGGCCCTGTGTGTGTATAGGGGGTGAGGTAGGCCCTGTGTGTGTATAGGGGTGAGGTAGGCCCTTTGTGTGTATAGGGGTTGAGGTAGGCCCTGTGTGTGTATAGGGGTGAGGTAGGCCCTGTGTGTGTATAGGGGTGAGGTAGGCCCTGTGTGTATATAGAGGTGAGGTGTACTGTGTCTGTGTGTGCAAGGGAGACGGATAGGGAGAGTCCCGATAGCCCCCCTTGGCTGCCCAATTCCAAGAAACACAAATACGTAAGCCTCATTGCCCCAGTGCTGCTTAAAAGTGAATGTAAAATATATACATGTACATAAGTGTGTGTTTGTGTTTGTGCATCTGTGTGTACGTGTGTGTGTGTGTTTTCCTCAAAAACCAAGAGTTGCAGTGAATTTCAGGGAAGCGGCAGGGCCCAATGTGGTAATTAACAAAGAAGACTCGGTTTCCCCGTGCCTCTGTATTTACTGATCTATGCATGCACACACAAGGTGAGATAGGATGAATGGCTAATTTCCCAGCGGCTTTTGCTCCTGCTTGCTGCAAAGTTGTGAACAAAATGACTGGCCATGCATTGAACTGGCTTACACAGCTCTCCATATGGAAATTAAGATAATCCAGGGCCCAGCTTTGTGTCTCAGCTACGGCAGGGGAGCCAGGAGGGAAGGGGAGGGGGGCCAGGGAGGCTCCAAAGAGACAGGGTGAGGCTCCCGGGCCTTTCAGAGGAACAGTTTACTGCTCGGGCTGGGGAATTTAGCTCGATTTTGTTGGTCAAACACTTAGGAGGATGTATATTCTTCCACTTCCCCCAACCCCCAGGCCTGCTCCCTGCCACCTTCTTTCTTCTGCTCAGACCTCACCAGGGATGTAATACTCGGTTCAGGGTAGGAAGGGTTTAGGCAGCAGAACAAAAGAGGAGGGATTATGGGTAAGGTCAGAGGGCTCCGGGGATTAGAGATATGATGTATTAAGAGGGCAAGACTGCCAGGAATACTTTCTGTTTCTATGAAGCCTGTGTTAATTGATGGGAAAAATCTCTCCCCTACATATCCCCTCCCACAATCTCCTCTCCACGCTCCCAACTCAGCCTCTTTTTCTCAGGTCCTTCCTTAACTCTCTCTTGTTCCTTTCTCTCTTTCTGCTCTGCCCCTGGTCTCTCCCTACCCAGGGCTTTTCTGATGCATTACGGAGATGAGGTGCAGCCAGGAGGTCCAGGGCGAGGTGAGATGGTGTGAGGGTGGAGTTTGGATGCCCGTTTCAGACTGCCTGGGTTGACGCCCTGTCCCCTGTGAGACACACACACACATACACACACACACACACACACACACACACACACACACACACACACACACGGTATGTGTGATTAGGGTAGTTACTCAACCTCTCTAAATCTTGACTTTCTATTCTATAAAATGGGAACGAGAAATAGCAATGGCTACTCTATTATTTATTATTATTATTATTTTTACTGCATGCCCCAGAGCATTGTTCTGGGTGCTTGAGATTAGATACGGCGGTGAGTAAGCTCCCTCCCTTTCGTCTCGGAGCTCACAGAGTCAGGGAGACAAACCATAGCAGGGAAGTCAATCAATAAAAATGGTGGCAGACTGTGACATCGCGATAACGGACATAAACAGGGTGTGTGGCTGAGGCTAACGAGGGGTGAGTACTGGGGATGGAGGTCTGCCTGTGGAGAAGGCGTAATCAGGGTGGGCATCCCTGAGGAGGTGTCCCTGAGCTGGAACCCTAAGGCTTTCCAGGAGGAGGTGCCAGCCAGAGCAAAGACCTGAAGGAGAAGGGGTGCCGGATGTGTGTGAGAAGTATGATAGAGTGTGGGTGCCAAGGGGAGGCCTCAGGAGGTCAGGCTGCACAGCCAAGTGGGAAAATAAAGAGAACTTGGAAATCATAGATTTTGCCCAAAGCAATCACTGAGTCTATTGATCATTCAAATCGGAGATTTTCCAGCTAACTTAAGTAACCCATTCTCTACCAGCACCTGTGTGACCTTGTAAAAATGCAAATGGGATCCTGTTTACGTCACTCCCCTGCATAAAACCCTCCAGTGGTGACTTCTGCACTTCCAGTTGGACAAAGCTCCTCATCTCAGTTCCCACTGCAGAGGAAAGAAGAGGCCACGTGCTTGGCGGGGCGTCAGGAGCACAGACTTGGGGGGCCAGATGGCCTGGCATGGAAGACCCCACTTCTCCAACTCCCATTAGCATGACCTCAGGCAAGTTACCTGGCCACCTGGGGACTCAGTTTCCTCATCTAAAAGATGGACAAAATGACAATCATACCCGTCTCCTAGGGCCATCATGAAGCTTAAAATAGTCCATATATGTAAACAACTAGGGCATATGGGCACGTGTTATTATTAAGTGCTATGTAGTCATTCGCGTGGGCAATGTTCTAGTAACTCAGGGCAGAGATGGTGGCTCGTGTTGGGGGTTGACAGTAGAGATGGAGCAGAGTGCACAGACACATTTGGAGACTATTTCAGACCTTGAGCAAGACTCTCTGCTCCCTTAGACTTACTCAGGTTCGGGGTGGAGAAGATGTTTCATAGTCCTAGCCTATGGCAGACAAAGACCAAAAGATTTTTGGAGTATACTTACTCCAAATCATCGGAGTGATGTGCCTGACTGCAAGGCTAATCCCATCCTTGGCTGCTTTAATGGAGTCATAAAAGAAAAGACTGGAGGCTGGGCATAGTGGCTCAAGCCTGTAATCCCAGCACTTTGGGAGGCCAAGGCAGGCAGATCGCTTGAGCCCAGAAGTTCAAGATCAGCCTGGGCAACATGATGAAACTCCATCTCTACAAAAAAAAAAAATTAGCCGAGTGTGGTGGTGCTTGCCTGTGGTCCCAGCTTCTCAGGGGGCTGAGGCAGGAGGATCACTTGAGCCCAGAAGGTAGAGGTTGCCATGAGCCATGGTTTGCACCACTGCACTCCAGCCCAAGCAACAGAGCAAGACCCTGTCTCAAAAATAGAGAGAGAAAGAGACTGGAATTCTCTACTCCAGGATTCCCAACCTTGGCACTATTGCCATTTCAAGCACAATCATTCTTTGTTGTAGGGGGCATCTGACCGTTATAGGATGTGGAGGAGCGTCCCTGGCCTCTACCCACCGATGCCAGTTGTGCACGCACGCGTGCACACACACACACACACAGTGATAATCAAAAATGAATGTCTCCAGATAGTGCCAAATGTTGCCTGGGGGTAAAATCTCCCTCAATTTAAAACTACTGCTCTACTCTGAACTGGTCAGCCCCACACTCAAAATATCCTGTTTTATCCTGGATTATAAATTTGAAATTGTTTTGGGAAGAGCAGCCTTACTTAGAAATGAAATTCTCTTGGAGAATGTGTATTGGCCTTGAAAGAGAGAAAAGGCTGTCACATGGAAGAGAACCAACAAGTGAATGACACGGAGAAATGGGGAAAATCTGTGAGTCCAATTCAGAGCTGTTCAAAGATGAGAAGAGTTGCCTTGGGAGGGAGTGACCTCCCCGTTGCTGGTGGTATGCAAGCAGAGATTTTATGATGGTCATCAGGTGGGGATGGAATACTGTATAATATGATGACCATCAGGTGGGGATGGAATACTGTATAATATAATAAGTAATATGGAATACTTATAATACATCATAAGACTCTCCCTCACTTCCAGGGAAAACTCTCTTAGCTTCTGTCTTCTAATTCCTCCCTGAAAAGCTTCCTCACCACTCCCCACAGAACTCTCCCCCTCACTGAAACCAAAAGGCTCCTAGGTTTCTCCTGCAAGTCTTTCAGCTGAATCTACTGAAGTGAAATACAAGAAGGATAATTATGAAGTTTTATTCTTGGGACCCATGAAATCAATGGCTCCCAAAGAAAAAAAAAAAGAAGAGTAAACCAAGCTAACGACCCCAAGTCAAAATGGTAGATAGCATGCCACGTTGCAACCTAGGGGTGAAAAACAAAGGCAAGTGTTTTCATTTGCAGGATTCAGGGTCATGAATCTGTGTTGTGCCATGAAATCCACTGTGAGAATGTTCAGATTGGGGCTGCAGGACTATTCTGGGAAGTTTCTGGGCTGGTTCCAGCATCTTCTTCCAGACAAGCCTGGCATCCTGACAGATGAAAGGTGGGAAGAGATTGGCTTAGATCATGCATTGTGGTACCCTGGAATGGATGCTGGTACAGAAAAAGGGCATGAGTGGAAATACCAGTGAAATCCAAATAAAGTCTAGAGTTTAGTTCATGGTGTTGCATCAGTGTTAATTTCTCAGTTTCAACAAATATGCCAGGCTTATGTAAGATGGTCACTTTAGCAGAGATCTGGACCAAGGATATATGAGAAGCCTCTGTACTAGCTTTCCAACTTTTCTGTAAATCTAAAGTTATTCCAAAATATAAACTTTATTTTTAAAAAATAACACTGGCTTAGGAAGAAACCTGGCCGTTAGTATACCACCATCACAATCCATTTCATATCTATATTCCATATGTTCACTGTCCCACCAATTCAATATTTTTATTTAAGTGAATTCATTTTTTCTACTTTTAAATTTTTATTTTAAAATGAAACTCTGTATCACTACCATAAATGGAAAATCTGTTTCTCTTGCCACAAATTGGTGGTAACCATACAAATAAATACAAGTAAAAATAACAAAACGATGCTATTAAATGTAAGCCAAATGCATTTATCTGTGGAAGGCCCCAGGCCTGCTTTTGCCCTCTTTGTTGAAAAGGGAGGTGAGCAATTGTTAGAAAAGTGTTAAAAACCTATCAGCAGCAAAGAAGACTTCCTCCTGGCTGGAATCCCAAAGTTGGAGGAAGACAACAGAAAGAATAACTTCTCATCATGTAATTGTAGGTTATTTAAAACTGTTGTCCGGCCAGGCACAGTGGATAATGCCTGTAATCCCGGCACTTTGGGAGGCCGAGGCAGGTGGCTCACTTGAGGTCAGGAGTTCAAGACCAGCCTGGCCAACATGGCAAAACCTCGTTTTTATTAAAAATACAAAAAATTAACTGGGCGTGGTGGCACACACCTGTAATCCCAGCTACTCGGGAGGCTGCGGCAGGAGAATCACTTGAACCCGGGAGGCAGAGGTTGCAGTGAGCCAAGATCGCACCACTGCACTCCAGCCTGGGCTACAGAGCGAGACTCCGTCTCAGAAAAACAAAACAAACAAACAAAAAAATTGTTGTCTGTGAATTACGTAAAGGTGTGTCTTCTTTAGGAAGTGCTTCCTAAACTTACACTATCTAATAAGGTAGCCACAGCCACATGTGCCTATTTATGTTTAAGTTAATGTAAATTTAATAATATGACAAACCCAGTTCTTCATTCCCACTAACCACATTTCAAGACATGTAGCAACTGCCTTCCGTATTGGGACAGTGCAGAAGCACATTTCCACAGTTGCAGAAAGTTCTATCAAACAATGCTGCTCTAAAACGTTTCCTTCTGATTCACGGTTTTGGGGGGCTCATTGGCACAAGCATGTTTCAAAACTTCTTCCTTTAAATGCTGGTGAAAGGGGTCAGGTCAGCAGCTCCTGGAGACAGCAGGAAAACAGATGGCCTGAGGCTCCAATGAGACAGATGGGGCATCACCTCTGATCACACTAAGCTTGCTAAGAAGCCCCCTCCCACCTCTGGACACTTGCTGATTGCGCCCCTGAGACTGCCACTGCTCAGCACCATCGCAAAGCCTCTTTCCCCTCCCCTCCACACTGCACCCCGCAAACCAACCCACCCCTGCTCTGTTCATTGATGCCTGCCTTCAAGACAGATCAAGATACATCTGGTGGAAGGGGAGAAAATAGATAATTTGGAAATCATAGATTTTGCCTAAAACGATCACTGAGTCTACTTAGTCATTCAAAGAGGAGGTTTTCTGGCTAACTTAAGTGACTAGTTTCACATAATCAACCATCTCGGACTTGTCAACCCTTTTTTTTCCTTCCGTAAGAGAAAAGCACAGCTAGAATTGGAAGCATGGCTGCTTACTGCTGTGTAACGCTGGGCTAGTCACTTAACCTCTCTGAGCCTCAGTTGCTCTGTCTGTAAAACGGGGATTTATAGTAATACAGTGCTCATAGAATTAGGTGAGACAACATATGGAAAGTGCCTGGTAGCTACCTTGTTACCGGTTTAAAAATATATGTCAGTTACTGTTACTGAAGGGATCAAGTAAGCTGTGGATACCCTTTGTAGAATATAAAGAGGTACAAAAATAATAAGTGGTGGAAATGCTGCTGCTAATAACTAATAAGGTTCATATCTAGAGGTAGCCACTCCTGGTCACCCAATTTCTCAGACCCCAAAAATCTCTTATTGCATGAAGTAGACATCATTAATGTTCATCAATAGCTAGGTCTCTACTTCCAGGTACAAGTGGGTTACAAGTCTTCTTTCCCTTGAAATTAGATGTGGTGATGTGACTGGCCAAATTAAATTTGAACAAGAGTAATTGTGTTGCTTCTTGGTCAAACATTTAATTGCTTGTACTTGATTCTCCAGCACACTTTTTCTCTGCTGCATGGATTATGGAAACATATGTTGAGATAGCAGTGTCCTAAAAATAGTGACTGCTCCTCTAGCTGGGTTCCTGAGTAACTTCAGTGAGTAGTGGTGCACCTACTGATTTGCACTGGACAAGTGAGATGAGCAAGAAATTAACCCTCTTTGTTTTAAACCATGAGATTTTTTTTGGACTGTTTGTTACACAGCATGACCTAGCCTCTACTGACTAAAACAATCCAGTAAGTCCTTTCCCAAAGGCTGCATACAAGAAGAAGAATTTAGACTATCTCCTAAATTGATGCCTGCACCTCACACTACTGCTGAATAATCAGTTCTGGACCCAATAAAGCCATTAACCTTCCTCTGCTCCTAGAACTTCAACTCCTACCCAGACCATGATTCAGACATGAGTCCATTGTCCAGACATGAGTCTCAGTTGGGAAACTAAGGACTCAGACCTCCCTTGCCAATACCAAGAATTGCAGAAATAATTCCAGCCATTCACCGAACTTCTTCCTTCCTGCCCACACCAAATGCCTGCCAAACATTACATGATCTGGCTCAGGTCCAGGAATGTATCAGTGGTGACACTTATAAAAGCCTACATAAACATGCACAAGACACCACAGATAATTCAATCCCATCTTTCCACATGAAAGGGACATGTTGCTCTTGCAAAGAGCCACATTGCTAATTATGCAAAGACTTCCCCAGTTAGTAACAGCAATAAGATCATTGAAATACTGTTAGCATTTCTTGATTTTAAGACAACTAATTCTTAGTGATTCTAAATTATCTGCTAAATGAAGTTCTTCTTCAGTAGACTGCTGAGTTTCTTTTTCTTTTTGTCAGCTGTTGTTTTGGGGCTAAACTACATTTTGTACTAAATTGTGTAATTTATATGACATTTGTTATTCCCTTATTTGAAAAAATAGAGCAACAAAAACTAATAGGAAAATGCCCTGGTGTTTGGATTTCTCAGGATGCTCTTGGATCTGTGAGGAAATAGAGTGCTGGCTTCTGCTCCCTCAAACAGAGAATGTGAGAGGCTGGGGTGGGAATCTGGCCTTTGCGTGAGACCAACAGAGCACTGGGAAGACTTTAGAACGGTAAGACTTGCCACCTGGCTTTGACAACATTGTAGAAGAAATGATCAGTTCTGGACCTTCCCAAGACCAGCCGTGTCCTCCACTCTTCTGATCTCTGTGTATTGTTTTTTTGTAAATAATACTTTTGTGGGTTTTCCTTTTAAAGCAAATATATAAATAAGTGATTTTTTTTAAAATCCATGATTCCTCCGCTCAGCGCTTTCCATTGTTAATGCTTTGGTAAAGATCTGCTTAAAATTTAGAATGAATAGTAAAATATTCATTCAAGTAACAATAACTGAGCACCTACTACATGCCAAGTCCTGTGCTGTCATGGAAATACAGATGCAGTATGTGTAGAAGGTAAGAGCTAGGACTTTGGAGTTGGCCTGCATGAGCTTAAATCCTCCCTCCAGCATTAATTAACTTCATGACCTTGGGCAAATTATTTAATGCCTCTGAAACCTTCCTCATTCATAAGATTGGTATGTGGATAGTAGAACCTACCTCCTTAGGGCTATTGTATCAGTTAGCTATTGCTGTGTAACAAACCCCAACATCCCCTCCCTGCCCCCCACCCCCCGCAAAAAAAAAAAAAACTCAATTGCTTACAGCAATCACTATTTATCATGGTCCTTAAGTCTACTGTCAGTTGAGCAGTTCTAAAATCAGCTGGTGGCTTGGTTGGGGGCTGACTCAGCTGGAATGACTGTTCTGCTCCACGTGGTCTCTCATTTTCCAGGAGGCCAGCCCAGGCTTGTCCTCATTTCGGAGACAGGGCCCCAAGAGAGAGCAGAAGTGCAGATGGTCTCTTGTGAGGTCCGGGCTCAGAACTAGCATGTCATCATTTCTGCCTCATTCTATTGGTCAAAACAAGTCACAAGGCCAGCTCAGCCTCCAGGGGAAGAGAAACCAACTCCAACCCTTGAGGGGAGGAATTACAAAGTCACATTGCAAAGTAGGGGGATACAGGGAATGGGGCCATTGATGCAGTCACTCTACCACAGCTGTTATGAGGATTAAACCATGTAAAATACTTAACAGAGTACCTGCAACCCACATAGTGAGTGCCCAATAAAATGTTTGCCATTAACACAAAATGCAAATCAAAATCTCCACCTGAAAGAGCTCACAGCCTAGTAGGAAAGAGGCAATTATAATTAATTAATTAATTAATTAGAACAACATCAAGCGAGATCCATGGTGATAATATCACACTTAAGCAATTATTTAATCTTTTTTTAACTTAATAGTATATCATAAGCACATCCCTGCCATTAACTCTCCAAAAACCTCACTTCAGTGACTAGATCTGATGGATGTGCCGTGATTTACTTAACCAGCCTTCTACTGTTGGACATTAGGCTGTTTTCTATTTTTTGCTCATGTCAATAATACTACCATGACCAACTGCGCTGTGATTAGATTGCAGGGGTTAGAGGCAACTCAAGTTTTGGTATCACCTTCATAAAGATGCTGCCCTCAACCACGTGTAGCCAGAATGCCCCCTATGGGGGAGTATCCAGAAGTACTCATATTCTTCCTTTTAATCAAACTTCTTAGACTCTCATTTTCCAGGAAGCAGGGTGGGATAGGTCAGAGACGTAAGGCAGTACCTGGTATTGGCATCTGGCCTCCAAAGGGAATCCTGATTCCCATTATGGGCCTTAGGAGCACCCATTTGTGGTAGCTTGTTTCTGAGAGATGGTCACTGTTTCAAGGGTCTCTGAGATCATCCACACATTCAGTGACTTGCTAGGACTCATGGAGGTTTTATATTCACATCTGTAATTTATTACAGTGGCAGGATCAGCAAGAGAGAAAGACACATCAGGTAACATCTGAGTGAGGGCTCCACACTCAGGCTTCAGATGCTCTTTCCCTCCCTCCCCAGGAATGGACGTTGAAAGAGCTCCTTTACCTAGTAGCAAGATGAGGCAACACACGTGCAATGTTTCTGCCCAGAGAAGTCCATCTGAGACTAAAAGCTCATGTTTTTACTGGGGGCTCATCACATAGACAGCCACAAGACTCAAAATTCCAGATTCTCAGAAAGAAAGCTGGTGTTGGTGCCTGCAGCTTGGCAAAACAACCTTATAGCATAGGGAACATTTCAACAGCCAAGTTCCCAGATACCAGCCACGGACCGGCCCTATAATCAGACCTGCTACATTAACTCTTCTTACACAGTCCCCCGTGAGCCAGGTGTCCTGGTAGCCACGCATTTGTCTAGTTCCCTCCTACATAGAATCTGAGTTGGCCCCATGACTCACTTTAACCAACAAAATGTGCTAGAAGTGATGCTGTGTGACTTCCAAGGTTGGCCTTCAGAGATCTCCAGCTTCCTTCTTTGCCATTTGCAATGTTCCCTCTTGGAGCTGTTTTGTAAGAAGTCTGGCCACATTGCTAGAAAGACTATATGGACAGGTTATGTGGGGAGAAAGAGAACCTGAGATGTCATAGAGGAAGACCAAGAAATTTAGCCAAGGGCAAGAACTGAGTCCCCAGACATGTGACCCCAGTCAAAGAGTTGCAGCCAACCCTGCCACGAGAACCATCCTTGCTGAGGTGCCGTGTGAGTGGTGATAACATCTTAGATGTCCCAACTCTACCAGGCATCCCGTGGAGTAGACAGAGACAAGCTCCTCTCAAAGGGGACCTGAACTCCCAGTTTCGGCCATGCTTAAACTAGCTGCATCCTTCAAGCTTTTTATCTTCTGGAGCCTATGGTATTCTGTAGGAACTCAGTCATATAACACCCCAAGTTGGATTAAGCTGAAAGTCACAGCACATTGGAGTGGCCACAGCAATGTGGACTCTGTCCAATACCACAGGTACCACAGTGACAACACTGTCTTCCTTGGTCATTGTTGACTGAATCACAACATCATTGTGACACCCATGACTTTCCTCTTTTCCATATCTGTAAAATGGGAATAAGACCTGTCCAAGGCCAGGGGCAGTGACTCACACTTTTAATCCCAGCACTTTTCGAGTCCAAGGCAGGCAGATCACTTGAGGTCAGGAGTTCAAGACCAGCCAGGCCAACATGGTGAAACCTCATCTCTACTAAAAATACAAAAATTAGCTGGGCATAGTGGTGCATGCCTGTAAACCCAGCTACTCAGGAGGCTGAGGCAGGAGAATCACTTGAACCTGGGAGGTGGAGGTTGCAGTGAGCTGAGATTGCACATTGCACTCCAGCCAGGGTGACAGAGCAAGACTCCATCTCAAAAAAAAAAAAAAAAAAAAAAAAAAATCTGTCCCATGGGGCTGTGGTGAGGATTTAACAAGGTAATATTTATAAGGGACTATGGTAGCCAGACTCTAAGACAAGCTTGTCCAACCCATGGCTCATAGGCCACATGTGGCCCAGGATGGCTTTGAAGGCAGCCCAACACAAATTTGTAAAGTTTCTTAAAACATTATGAGATTTTTTTGCAATTTTTTTTTTTTTAGCTCATTGGCTATCGCTAGTATTCATGTATTTTATGTGTGGTCCAAGATAATTCTTCTTCTTCCAGTGTGGCCCAGGGAAGCCAAAAGATTGGACAGCCCTGCTCTAAGACATCCTCCAGTGCTCCTACCTCCTACTATCCACACCCTTGTGTAATGTTCCCCCAACAACTCCCCCTCGAGTGGGAGCAAGACCTGGGACTCACTTCAAACCAATAGAATACAACAAAAGTGATGGGATATCATTTCCATGATTGTAACTTCTGTCCTCCTAGCTGAGTGTCTCTCTCATGGGCTTTGATGATGTATGATGTCCTATGGAGAGGCCCACATGGCAAGGAACAGAGGGCAGCACCCCTGAGGAACCTTAGTCC
Organism: Homo sapiens; assembly: GCF_000001405.40. Lineage (NCBI taxonomy): Eukaryota > Metazoa > Chordata > Mammalia > Primates > Hominidae > Homo > Homo sapiens. Next base: position 113,653,795 of record NC_000012.12, on the reverse strand, counting down.
AACAGCCCACGAGGAATCGGATCCTGCCAACAACCATGTGAGCTTGGAAGATCTTTCCCCAGTTGAGCCTCCAGATGAGATCTCAGCACCCACTGGCACCTTGATTGCAGACTTGTGGGAGACCCTGGCCCAGCTAAGCCATGCTCAGACCCCTGACCTGCAGAGCTATGAGATAATACATATGTGTCGATATAAGCCAGTAAGTTTGCAGTAATTTTTTACACAGCAATAAATAACCAATATGAGTACTAAGTACAGAGTCTGGCAGATAGGGTGTGCTCACAAGGGTGACTGATGGTATTTCCACTGTAGATACCTCCAGCTAACTGCCCTGACATAGGAGTAGAAACTCAACTACTTGCAGAATCAGACTTCCCTTAGGGTATAGGGCACATCTGAAAGTGTATCCAGCATTCGGCAAACACAGAGCAGCAACTATTTGCTAGGACTAGGGATACCGCAGTGGAAAAGTCCACCCTGGCTCCTGCCTTTATGTGCTTATGTTCTAGTGGAAAGACAGGCATAAAATAAAAACTATATAAACAATTACATTATCACAAATGTCTGTAGGATATAGAGGTATGCGTGTGTATTGATAAAGTTAGTAACAATAGCTTCTTAGTATTGAATACTTGAGAAGGACCAGACACTACAGCATAAAATTTACAGACATCATCTCACTTATCTCCAGAGAACTCACTGACACCTGTATCCTCGCCATGTGAATAGGGAAACTCAGGCCTGGAAACCTTAAATAACAAGGTTTATACAGCCAGGATTTCAGCCCAAGAGGTCTGTCTCCAAAATCCACCCGCTCTCCACCACACTTTCTCCTTCTGCCTCTCTTCATTTACATTTATTAATTGCCTTATTCAGATCCTCTCTGTTTCCTTTACCATCTAGTTGACTCATCAAAGACTGAGAGTGCTGTGTGAAGAGCCTCCTATTCCAATTGCTTGGGTGACATCCTAGCCTATGAATCTGCCTCTCTTTTGAATAGCATTTGGGAAAGCTAGCTGCCTCAGCCTGTAAACAAAGGGTACAGTTGGTCCCCATAAAGATGGTAGGCAGGTACCCTGAGGACCTTGGGAGTCTTTAGATCAGTGGTTCTCAACTGGGAATGTTTTTGCCTCCCCAGGGAGCATTTGATAATGTCTGGTGACAGTTTTGGCTATCACAACTCAGGAGATGACACTCCTGGCATCTAGTGGGCAGAGTTCAGAGATGCTGCTAAACATCCTAAAACGCACAGGACAGCATGTCTATGACAAGAATCACTTGACCCAAAATACCAATGGTTCCAAGTTGAGCAATCCTGCTTTAGATGAAAAACAAGCCACCTATGGGGTTGAGCCTCAGGGGAAGTGGAACGAGGTGGGAAGAGAGCTTGGGGATGAAAAGAGACCACTCTTTTGGGTCATCAACGATAGCCATATCCACTTTAGTGAGAATCAGTAAGGGAGCCCTTTCTCCTAAGCTTATGAATCTAGGTCTTGGGTTATTATTTTCTTTTTAATAGGGACTTCATGAATGGGGAGTGTAATTAATGTCAAGTAATTGTCAACACACATTTTCAGTGTTTCATTGACCCTGAAGTCACCAAAGCCTCCATCCAGTTGACCGTTAACAATAATGCCACTTCCACTGGGGGAAGGTCCACCTCCACTCCACTGACAACAGCAGTGCGCTGGGCACACTTTTGATGTTGAAGCTAGATTTCAGGGAGCGCATTTCAGCTTCTTCAGAAGAGTAACTGTCTAAGGAGTGCAGCACTTTAATTGCTGGGTAGATAGGTTCATTGGTAATAACATAAAAATTGGGCATTTGCTGAATGCTTCCTGTATGCCAGGCACTGCCCCAAGCACTTTGTGTCTCTTAAATCCCCATAACCACCTCGTGAGACAAGAGTTGCCATTATGCCCATTTTACAGGCATGCAAATAGAGGCACAAAGCATTCTGCAACCTGCCTGAGGTCACCCAGCCAGGAAATGGTAGAACCTGGACTTGAACCTAGGCCGGCTGCCTCCAGAGTCTGCACCCCAAGGCGCTGCCTCTTATTGCCTCTGCAATTGTTAATTACCAGTGAATTTTACCTCTGCATTTAAAAATGCAAGACCTTAGAATTTGATGTGCAGGAAATGGATTTTTTTTTCATTGGAGGATATTTAGTTTTCAGATGTGCTATTCATTCAAACTCCTCTTTGCTCTCTCCTTCCCTCCAAATTGGCAAGGAGTGATTGTTTATCTACAGAGTATTTGCATTGGTATTCACCTGACGGTTGCTTTGATGAAATGAACTCTGAAGGGTTCCTGTTATTACTTTCAGATATTCCCTCTCTTGATTCCATTTTTGCTCGTTATAATTTGGTTTCAAGATCATGAGTATATCCAGCTTTTTCTTTACATGCCTTGGACCGGCCATTGGCTTGCAGAAATTTTATTCTTAATATTACTCATGCTACAAATGGATCTGAGAACCAGCTCTTGCAGACCCAAAGCCCTGAGCAGGTTGCAGAATATTCAGAATTCACGGCCCATGGGCCTAAAATCCCCAGAAATCTCAAATCCACACATGGCTTAGTCCTAAGGATTGACGAGTTTTGATCCTCTGTCCCACTCAGCAGAGAGACTTTGATTGGCAGAGCCAGAGGTAGGTGAGTTGAAGGAAGTTCTTAAATCAGACTCTTTGTGCCAGAGCATGTGAATACATAATCTCCCACATATGCCAGGATACACAATACATCATCATCCATAATCGTAATATGGCGTCATATATCACCCGCTTATAATAAATAGCATATCATCTGCTCATAATATTTTATCATATTATATCATGACATCTGCTCACAACATCATATATTATGTGATCGACATGCAGCATTTCATCCTAGAAGGGGCATCTTCAGATATATTTGTTTAAAAATATACATATTTGTATGTGCTGCTGACTTTTGTTAGAAGGCGAGGAGTTTTTCACAGGTTCTGGAGGCTGACATGAAGGAAGGCAGAAAAATCCCAGCACCACATAGCCTGTAGCACCTCATCTATGACACGTAGTTTAGGCCAGACTCATAGAAAAAGTATTTGGCTTCTTGCACTAAACTGGTCAAAAATGCAGCATCTCTGACCCCACCCCAGACCTGCTGAATCAGACTTTGCATTTTGATAAGATTTGCAGGTGATCTGTGAGCATGTTACAGTTTAAGACGTGCTGTCCGACAAGACACTCAAATTTAGCTGCTTTTAAGTAGAAGGCAGGGGTCCTCCGGTCTGTGTACATGTCCTGCGATGACAAATATGTGTGGGATGATGTTTGCCTCCACTCACACGTGGCAGGACCCCAGGGGCAGACCAAGGGCCCCCTCACCTGCAGAGCCCCACACACACACATCCAAGAGAGACTCTCAGACCCTCCAGAATTCATTCCTAGCATTCCTATTCTGTTGACTATGGCTTGGCCCATGGCTTATAGCCTGTGAGAATTTCTACCAGGCCAATTTTTAAAACTCAGATTTGTCTTTATTCTACCATATCTTTTTAAATGTCACAGGGAATCACCAGGAGGTGGAATTACCTAAGTAAAAATATTTCTCTACTTGTATTTAGCATCTGATTTCTTGTTTCTTCATCCTATCTTAGAACTATATGGGCAAACCCACAGATATTTTCTTGCCAGTACTGCTAGAAATTAGAAACATGTATTTACAGAGAAATGCTTTAAAAGTAAAATTTTTTAAAACTCCATTCTAATATAGCTTAGCCTCAACAGTGCTGAAGTGTGGGCTAGAGAATTATTTGTTTTCAGGCTGTGATGGGCACTACACGATGTTTAGCAGGAACCCTGACCTCTACCCACCAGATGCCAGTAGCCTCTCCCCTCCTCAATGAAAAATGGCTCCAGACATTGCCAAAAGTCCCCTGGGGGTCAAAATCACCCACTAGTTGAGAACCTCTGTTCTATCCTAAAAATCAAGGACTGATAACACTCTCACACAAATCCCCTCTCCTGATCCCTCTTTCGGAGATGTTTTGAACCATCAGCAGCTGGGGAGGACAGGGCAGCTGTCAGTTAACACCTTCCCCTGGCCAGGCCTGTGTGTGCCCCAGTGTGAACTTGTGGGCGAGCGTGTGTGTGTGTGTGCAAGGAGTACGTATGCGTTATTCCAGTAATTCTTTTATCTTCTGCTCACACCCCGGGCATTATGAACATTCATCAAAATAATTGACGCGGATGAAATTAGCACTTCCTGCTATGTCGGGCAGATAAACTTTGCTGAATATTGATTTCACACAAAGAAAATGACATGTGCTTAGGCCTAACCCTTTATCTGGCCGGACCAGGGAAATGCAGCAGGAGGGGGACGGGGCTGGCCGTCGCCAGTGGTGAAGCGGCCATAAGAATTACTTTTATCTCTTCTTCCACAAGAAGACAAGGGAAGATAAGGCGCTGGAGGGAGAGAAAGCACAGCCCCGGGCACTGGGGAGATGCGCAGAAGGCGTGGGACAGGGCAGTTCTCCGGGGACCGAGGGAACCAGAGCTGATAAATTCAGAAGAGGAACAGGGAGCGAACTCAAAAAGAACAGGATGGTGCAGAGGGACAAGGGGATGCGGGGGTCGGCCAGTCTTGGGTTCAAATCCCAGCCCTGTCCCTAAAAATGAGGTGAACAACCACCCCAGTTTGCCAGGGACTGAAGGATTTCCTAGGATGTGGGAATTTCAGTGCTAAACCCAGACAGCCCCAGGCAAGTCAGGAGGGCTGGTCACCCTACATTTTAGCTGCATGACATTGGGCAATTGGTCCTCAGTTTCCTCATCTGTAGACCTGAGAAAGATGAGACCTACCTCTCTGGCCTCCATGGAGGGAGGTGAAAGCCCCATGGAGTTGTGCAACGTGAAGCCCTCCACCATAACAGAGACAATTCCAGATCAAGGCCACCTTCTCCTAGAAGCTCTCCCTGACCACCTGAGCCCACAGAGACCTCTGCGTGCCGTGAAGACTCATCTGTCTGGCTCTTTCTTCTTGAACTGAGTGACACATAAACTTTTTTTTTTTTCTTTGAGACAGTCTTTCTCTGTCACCCAGGCTGGAGTGCAGTGGCACAATCTCAGCTCACTGCAACCTCCACCTCCTGGATTCAAGCGACTCTCTTGCCTCAGCCTCCCGAGTAGCTGGGACTACAGGTGCGCACCACCATGCCCAGCTAATTTTTGTATTTTTAGTAGAGATGGGATTTCACCATGTTGGTCAGGCTGGTCTCAAACTCCTAGCCTCGAGTGATCCACCTGCCTTGGCCTTCCAAAGAGCTGGGATTACAGGCATGAGCCACTGCACCCGGCACATATAAACTCTTAACCACATACTAGCTTTCTTCTTTCACTCCTGCTTTGAAATCAGGAATTTCCTATTCCTGCTACAATCTAAGGCTGGACAAATCTCTGAGATGTCAGGCTAAGGAGGAAATGATTTATTTCTCCAAGATTTCCAAGTTCACTTTACTAAAGGCCTATTATGTGCCCGGCACTGCACCAGCAGCCAGCAGGGTGACTGCTGACATAAAATAGCCACCTCTTTCTCTGCCTCCTCTTCTTCCTCTTCTCTGGAGAATCTCTGAGCAGCTGTGGGGCCCTGGATCCCCTTAGCTAAATGGCTGATCACATCCTCATGCCATACAGGAAGCACGCTGGCTTTCAGATCAGACCCCAGCATGGGGTCACTGCCAATCTTGAGTCATTACCTGGCATTCTCAGGGCATGTGTGAGACCTTGGGCAAAGCCCCTGAGGGTCTTACCTGGGGCGCCAGATTGACATTCTTTTTTTTTTTTTTTTTTTTGAGACAGAGTCTCGCTTTGTTGCCCAGGCTGGAGTACAGTGGTGCGGTCTGGGCTTACTGCAACCCCCACCTCCTGGGTTCAAATGATTCTCCTGCCTCAGCCTCCTGAGTAGCTGAGATTTCAGTCACCCACCACTATGCCTGGCTATTTTTTCTATTTAGTAGAGATGGGGCTTCACCACATTGGTTGACTGGTCTCAAACTCCTGACCTCAAGTGATCCACCTACCTCGGACTCTCAAAGTGTTGGGATTACAGGCGAGAGCCACCGCGCCAGGCCCAGATTCACATTCTTGTCCTGCCTCCTTTATTCATGGGGAGGACAAAGTATGGCAAGTGACCAGCAGGAGGGAAAAAGGGCCCTGGGGAAGCAGGCAGAGTAGTGTAGTGATTAGGGTGGTTCTAGAACCAGCTAGCCTAGGTCGAGTCTCAGCAATGCCTTTTGCTGTGTGACCAGGGAGAAGGAAGGCACAAAAGACTTCTTTGCTTTATTTTCTTCCTCATTGAAAAGTAGAATTATAATAGGGCCTACCTGGTAATATTACTGTGAGGAGTAAATTAGCTAATAAAATTTGTAAGGTGCTTAGAATAGTGTCTGGCATATGGCGAGTGTCTGCCATTTTTATCAAAATCCCAGCCACTGTGTTGCTTGACATCAAACACAATGTGAAGGGCGCCCCCTGGGGTTGTACAATGGAGATCCACCAATATGACAGGGACAATACTGGGACAAAGTCACCTCCCCTCAGGTGCCCTCCCTAACTACCCATTCCACGAGACCTCTGTGTGCCATGAAGACCCACGGCTCCAACTGCTTAGCTCACTCCAGAAGCATTTGTGTGAGGCCAGGACTATGTCTTGATCATCTCCATGCCCACCCCATGACTAGGACAGAGGGGACTAACTGAGCTGGGAAGGCTATGTATGTGGGCAAGCAGCCACCTATTGGGAACATGGGATCTTTCTCCAGTCCCTTCCCTCCTCTACAGACAAGTTTGATCAGGATGCAATAATAACAATAGCAATAATGGGTGGGCATGGTATAATCCCAGCCTGTAATCCCAGCAATTAAGGAGGCAGAAGCATGAGGATCACTAGAGGCCAGGAGTTAGAGACCAGCCTGGGCAACATAGTGAGACCCCATCTCTACAAAATAGTGTTTTAAAAATTAGCCAGGCATGGTGGGGCACACCTATGGTCCTGGCTACTCAGGAGACTGAAGCAAGAAGATCCTTTGGGCCCAGGAGTTTGAAGCTGCAATGAGCTATGATTGCACCACTGCTCTCTAGATTGGGTGACAGGGTGAGACCCTGTCTCCAATCAGTCAATCAATCAATCAATGATAGTAATAGTAATGGCGGTTACTGATTGAGCTCTTCCCGTTGCCATAACATTTTATATTCTCATTTAATCCTAGAAGATACACCATGATATGGGTAGCGTATTCTTATTTTTCAGATGAGGAAACAGTCTCAGAGAGCAGAAGTGACCTGTGCAAGGTGACAAGGCCAGAAAGTGGTAGAGCTGAGACTTGTGCCAGGTGTGCCTGGCTTCAGGGCCCTAATGACTGCCATTCTGCCTCCACTTAGAGGCCATCAAAGGAAGCAGCTGTAACGACATGGAGAGTCCAAGAGGCCAGGATTCAAGTCCTCCTCCTGCCACATTCCAGTTAACCTGGCAAGATTCCCTTCATCTCTCTGGGCATCCATTTCCTTCCCTGCAAAATGGGCATCATCTCCCTGCCTCCCCAACTGTTGGGGAGGATTTATGATTAGAGAAGTACCCGGCACAGTGATCACAAGGAGATGCTCCAGGAGCCGTCCCCACAGAGGCGAACATGTGCAATGCTCACCTCCCGCATCCCCTCTGCAAAGCAGGAGAATTGGATTTGATCATTTCGAATGCCCCTCTGGCCTGGCTAAGTCTTGGCCTTGATAGTTTGGGGGTCAAATGCTTCTACTTCAGCCCCTGTCAGCCTCTGCCAGGCTCAGAGAGACGTCGGGTCTGAAATGCACCAGTTCAGCCACTCCTGCCTGCTTGCTGGCGTTTCCACGGGCACTGGGTGGCGGCTCCATCCCCTTGGCCATTCCCCACTCAGTGCCCAAGCCTCGCATCCCAATGGGGGGCCATGGGGCTGCGGCTAATTGCAAATCATTTCTCAGGGCTCCCCGCTGTTCGGCTAAATTCACTGGAACTAATGTGTCCCGAAACAAATTTCACAGAAGAGCCAGGGCAATTACATGATGCTTAGTTCTCCTCCCCACGTCCCCCACCCGGGGCTGCTCCGGGCCAGGGGCAGAGAGGGCTGGGTAGAGTGGGGCCGGGAGCTTGGAGGCAGGAGTCTTCTCTGGGACCAGAATGTTCTTCCCTTCCACCTCTGAACCCCCACCTATGGCCCCCTCTTCACTGTACCTTCTGCTCCTAAATCTTATCCCTGCTCTCACAGCACCCAGCATCACCCTTCCTCCCTTCTTGAATTCAGGAGGCATCTTGATGTCTCCGGCAAGCACTGGCTCCAAAACCAGGCAGACTTGAGTTCAAATCCCAGCCTCAGCATTTATTTGCTGTGTGTGCTTAGAAAAGTCACAACCTCTCTGGGCCTGTTTCCGAATCCCTGAAATTAGGATACCATCACTTGGCTGGCATCAGCCAATGTGAAGATTAAGTCAAGCAGCACAAGTGAAATATTTTATGTAGGTCCAGCACATGGTAAGTTCTTGGTAACTATTGGTCCCCTCTGGCACCTACTTCAGTATGATCATTTCAAGGGGATCAGGTGAACCATCTTTTAGGAGCATCAGAATCAATTCCAAACGAGAGGAACCTGAAAGAAAAGACCCAGCCCCCACTCCCAGAACCAGGTACCAGCAAGCCCAATCCCCTGCCTGCTGTTCCACCATTCCATCTCACTCCAGCCTCGTCCTTCCAGATCTCTCCCATCAGAATAATTCTCCCCTTCCTCCAGGGCTCCTCGGCATGTCCCCTGTGTCTCTCTGAGCGCCTTCATTTTGTTTTGCATTGCTGCTGTCTTGGTTGACTAAAGCTGGGTGCAGCGGCTCACGCCTGTAATCCCAGCAACTCAGGAGGCTGAAGCAGGAGGATCATTTGAGGCCAGGAGTTCAAGACAAGCTTGGGCAACATTGTGAGATCTTGTCTCTACAAAAAAATTAAAATAAAGGCTGGGAGTGATGGCTCACGCCTGTAACTCCAGCACTTTGGGAGGCTGAGGCAGGTGGATCCCTTAAGCCCAGGAGTTTGAGACCAGCCTGGCAACATGGTGAAACCCTGTCTCTACAAAAAAAATACAATAATAATAATAGTAATAATTTTTAAAATAAAAATAAAACTTAGCTAAGTGTGATGGCACATACCTGTAGTTCCATCTACTTGGGAGGCTGAGGTGGGAGGATCACTTGAGTCTAGGAGTTTGAGGCCGCAGTGAGCTATGATTGAGTCACTACACTCCAGCCTGGGTGACAGAGAGAGAACCTGTCTCAAAATAAATAAATGAAAATAAAAATAATTAAAGAACCACGTGGCCAAGACATGAAAACCATGCAGGCCAGTTGCCGGTGACCTTTTCCATCATGGTATCTGTGGTGAGCAGCCCCAGATCCTGATGCTATTTGCACCCAGGGGTAACATGTCCCCTCGGGGCTGGTTCTGAGTCCACTCCTTTGCTTTCGACCCAAGACAGCACCAGCCTGACCGCAGGTGCATCAGGGAGACGGTCCTATATGACTGGATTCACATCATCTTTACTTTCCAAAAGTTAGGAAACCAATCACTCACTCCTTTGCACAAAACTTAAACACACCTAAAATGAGTATATTGAAACATCGAAGTCCAATGATGACTTCAGCACATACCTGCTGAGCCCCTCCTAAGTGCCAGTTCCCATGTAAGGGGCTGAGAAGCCAACAGTGAAGACAGACCCAGTCTCTGTCCTTGGCTAACATTCTTGGTAGATGAAAGACATTAAAGAAGCAAAGACACATGATCATATCAGTGCCAAGTACAATTAAGATAATAAAGATAAAACAAAAATGATCCAGTGAGTACTAGATATTTATTAGATGGGGGATCCTAAGATGGTGACATTTCAACTAGAAACTTAGTAACAAGAAAAGGGGCCTGAGGCAAAGTTCCAGGAAGGACCAGCAAGTGCAAAGGCCCTGGGGTAGGAATGCACTGGCGAGGCTAGAGGTGCAGGAGCAAGGTGGAAAGGGGAACAGATGAGATCAGCTGGGCTGGAAGCGAGGGTAAGGTCCTGAGGGTTAGGGGAAGCCACTGGAGGGTTTTATGTAGGGGAAACTGATTTGGGCTTTTAGAAGATCCCTGCAGCTGTGATATGGAGAAGGGATTGGGGGAGGAGTGGAAGCAGAGAGGCCAGTAGCAAAGCTGTCATCTGGGCTCAGACGGGGATGGGGACGCTGCAGAGATGCAATCCCATCCAGTCGTCCAGTCATTGGGGAAACTGAGAGTCCAAGAGGGGACACTGCCTGCCCCAGGCTGCCTGATCAGTCAGTGATGAGGTGCAAATTTGGAGTTCCTGTCTCAGGCCAGGCTCTCTCATTTCACCACCATTAACTGCTCTGTGGGGGAGCCAGGGCAGAGAGAGCTCCAGCTAAGGCTTCCACGCTTCCAGTATTAGAGGACTTACCACTTAAAGAATCCCTGTAGCGTATCCTTTTGTAATGAGAATAATCACCCCTAATTTATCTGCTTCATAAGTTCAGTATCACCTTTCTTTTGAGCGCTGTGAACATATCTGTATTCCTGCCCAGACATAAAATACTATTTTAAAAACATAACTTGGGGTTGCTTATGAGAGCTGTCATGTCAGTGAGCACTTTTGGGGGCACAGGCTGTGCGATTCGTCTCTGTGCCCCACTGGTACATGAGATGCATGCAATAAATAATAATTTAGAAAAATAACAGGCAGCAATGATTCCACCCTTACTATGTGCCAAGCACGTTCATTAATTTCTTCATCTAGTTTTCATAATACAGCTGGAAGTGGGCTCTGTTACTGTCTCCATTTTATAGATGGGGAAACTGAGGCTCAGAGAGGTGAAGCCACTTACCCAGTGTCACACAGCCTGCAAAAGCCAGGCTCGAACCAGGTAACAACTAAAACCATGTCCTGAAACTCAAGGTCTACTGTTTGAGGGAGGGAAGGAAGAAGGGAAAGAAGGAAGGAGGGAGGAAGGGGAGGAAGGAAGGAAGGAAAGAAGGGAGGGAGGGGGAGGGAGCAAGGGAGGGAGGGAGCAAAGGAAGGAAGAGGAAGGAAGGAAGGAGGGATGGAGGGGAGAAGGAAGGAAGGAGAGAGAGGAGAGAGGTAAGGAAGGAAGGAGAGAGAGGAGAGAGGTAAGGAAGGAAGGAGAGAGGGAGGGAAGGAAGGAAGGAAAGAAGGAAGGAAGGAAGGAAGGGAGAGAGGGAGGCAGGGGGAAGGAAAGAAGGGAGCGAGGGAGCGGGGAAGGAAGAAAAGAATATTTAGAGATAAAATTCAGTTCATCTAGTTAGGCAGAGCTAGTCTGGAGGCCAAGGCAGAAGGATCACTTGAGCCCAGGAGTTAGAGTTCTGCCTGGGCAACATAGAGAGACTCCATCTTTTAAAAAAAAAAAAAAAGAAGAAGAAGAAGGAGAAGGGAAAGGAGGGAAGGAAAGAAGGAAGGAAGGAAGGAAGGAAAGAAAGGAAGGAAGGAAGGAAGGGAGGGAGCGAGGGAGGGAGGGAGAGAGGGAAAGAAAGAAAGAAAGAAAAGGAAAGAAAAAGAAAGAAAGAAAGAAAGAAAGAAAGAAAGAAAGAAAGAAAGAAAGAAAGAAAGAAAGAGAAAGAAAGAAAGAGAGAAAGAGAAAGAAAGAAAGAAAGAAAGAAAGAAAGAAAGAAAGAAAGAAAGAAAGAAAGTAATAAGCTTAAAAACTCAGTTCCTTTGCCAATCAGTGCTTCTTTCAAACTTAAATGATTCTCCCCATCAGAGGTTTGGCCACAGCTCCCTGAGAGCTCGCCTCTGCCACCGCAGGGTTTCTGGTGCTCAAAATCTGTTTTCTGCCCTGAACTGGTTGTCACCATGTCCCCAACCTCTCCTCCAGCCAGTCTCCTTATTCTCTCTTCCCCGCTAGGGAGGAGGGGGTGGGGCTGCTCCCTTATCGGCCCCCATGAATATATACACATAGGAGTAAGTTGTCTCCTGTGACCCCACCTGCCCTTGGCTAAGTGAACGCAGTGTCAGCCCAGATCATTCCAAAGCCATAAAGATGATATAAAAAAAAAAGTGGGGGAGTCGGTGGCAGGGAGCGGTGGAGGTGGAGGAGGAGATTACAAAAAAGAGGACAAGCTGCGTGGCTTGCGCTCCTTATCTAACCCCCAGCAGGCCTGGCTGGGGGCTTTCTCTCTCCAGGGGGAGGACGCTGTGCAGCCACGTTGGCTGTCTGTCCCCCCTCCACATCACCCCACTCCAGCCTAGCAGAAGGCTCCAGCAGGGAAACATCCCAGCTGGGTGCACTGGGGAACCAGAGCCAAGTGAGGGGTGAGGGCAGTCAGAAGGGCATCCACAGCTGAGCAGGGGACGGTGAGTTGAGGTCCCGCCAAGCTGTCCCCAAGATGGGGGACTGGGGGACATAGGGACCTGCCTGCCCAGGAGACCCAAGGCACCAGCCAGAAAGAAAGAATCGCCCAGGATGCTGCAGGTCACATTTGGACAACTTAGTTATTTTTATGAATATTGACTCGGGGAGCTGGGGTGGAGGTGGAGGAAGGGATGGATGGGTGATACGGGGAGGAACAAGTAGATGAAGGGTAGAACAGAGAAAGATAGTGCGAGGAGGAGAGGACACAGTCTAAACTACACTTTCTGGGAGCACCTGCTTCCCCACATTTAATCCTCACAAGGCCCCAGGGAGAAGCGGCAACATTATGCCCATTTTACAGACTGGTAAATCGACTCATTAGGAGGCAGTAGGTAACTTCCCATTATGCTTCAATGATATTGGCATGAGCAGAGGGCAGAGAACAGAGAAGTCACCTAGAGATCCTCATGAGCCAGGGGCTTGGAGTAGACCTGGGTTTGAAATCTTAATAGCACCTATCTTCTCTTGTTGTTATAAGGATTACATGAGATAACAGAACCATTTTGGTTCCTGACCAAGGACCACACACACATCTCTGGACGTTGTTGTGAAGGGGTTACTTTTCCTCTAACCCTCTCTTAGTAAATTGACAGGGGGTGGAGGGACAGCTTCAGTGACCTTCAAATTTAGGGTTTGATTTTTCCTTCAAGGGCCTGGCCTAGGGGGCACTTGGAGCCAGCGTGGTTGGGGAAGTGGAGAAGAGAGGCTTCTCTTAGCTGCTCATCAGATCAAAAGGTGGAAAAACACAAATTCTGTAAGGCCCTAAGGTCCGTTCCCCAGATTCCCAATGCCCCTGTAGGGAAAAAGATCACAAAGCTCTAGAGGAACAGAAACGTGCTCAAGAATCAGTCTACTATTCAAACAGATTAAGCCAAAAACTGTAACTACAATAACAATAGCAATACTAACAAACACACACACGTATATGTCTATATTCATCTATAGAGATATTTACATATATATCACACACCTATACATATATATCCATATTTGTCCCTATAAATATATACACAGACATATTAGAACCAAATCTACTTTGTTTATGCCATCAGTATATACCACCAGCTTTGTGTAAGCTTGGCAAGTTACTTAAACACTCTGTACCTCAGTTTTCCCATCTGAAAAATGAGGATAACATCGGCAACCTCTTAAAGTGGAAATGAAAATGAGTTAAAGATTCCCTAGTACGCTGCCCAGCTCATGGTAAGTACTGCCTGGGCATGGGCATTATTAGTTTCCCCAGCCAGGCCCAGAGTCTGGGGCCTGAGGGCACTTTCCTGTATGAGCGACTCAGGCTAAATGCAGAAGGTAATTTGCCGGCACTGGAAGAGGATTCAAATGCAGCTGTGCCTCGTCTTTGGGGAAGGTGATAGGGGAACCTCTGAAAGGTCCCTTGGGTTTGGACTGGTTTGGAGGTGAGACCCTGGCTGAGGTCACCTGAGCAGGATGTGCCCTCTGGGAGGCTGTGGAGTCCTACCAGGTTCCTCCTCAGACAGGTCTCCCATACCTAGAGGACTGGCCTTGAGTGGGAGTGGGGGTACTTCAATTTCACCAACCAGGTCTGGCCATCCTCCTATAGATGGGTGTAAAGGCCCAGGAGTCAGAGGGCCTCTAATCACAGTGTGGCCCTGGGTGGGTGGCTGTATCTTTTGAACCTCAACTTCCCCATCTGTACAATGGGTCTGATTTCTGCCACTACGGAGGAGCAAGTGAAAGGCGCGCACGTGTGTGTGTGTGTGCGTGTGTGCATGTGTGTGTGCGTGTGTGCGTGCGCAAATGTGCACATGCAAGTGCTCTAACATGCGACAAGATTAGGGACAATCGAAACCCAGTCCCTGAGAGAGTACCAGTCCCAGTCCCTGAGGGGGTCATGACAGGAGATGAGGAGCCCCACTGGGACTAGTGCCCCACCATGCACTTCTTTAGTCCTCAAGGTATCAGCCAAACTATTTATGGGAGCTGGGAGCAGGGTAGTCCAACTGCAGGGACTGTGGGTGCCCACCGAGGCCAGCATTCTTTATCCTGGAGAAAGAGAGACAGACACACATGTTCAGAGACAGAGAATTCAAGAGGCCAAGAGAAACAGAGAGGGAGACACTGTCAGAAGCAGACAGAGAGACAGAGAGGTAAACTGACTGAGAGTCAGGGAGGGAACGAGAGAAACAGGGAGACAAAGATCATCAGACAGGCGGAGAGAGACAGTAAGAAATAGACAGTGCCAGGCACCCTGGCTCACACCTGTAATCCCAGCATTTCGGGAGGCCGAGGTGGGAGGATCGCTTGAGCCCAGGAGTTCAAGACCAGCCTGGGCAAAATAGTGAGACTCGTTCTCTACCAAAAATAAAAAATAAAAAATAGCGCGGTTTGGTGGCCTAGCTAGCTACTCAGGAGGCTGAGGCAGGAGGATCACTTGAACCAGGGAGATCCAAGCTGCAGTGAGCCAGGATCCCATTCCTGCACTCCAGCCGGGGAGACAGAGCAAGCCCTTGCCTTAAAAAAGAAAGAAAAGATAAGAAAGAAGGAGAGGAAGAAATAGATACAGAGATGAAGAGAGAGGGACAGAGACAGAGAGACAAATAATAAGAGGCGGAGAGAGAGAAAGCGAGGGAGAACTAGAGGCAAAGGAAAAATAGACACAGACACAGAGACAGCAAGAGAAAGAACGGAGAGAGACGATCGCAGGAAGAGAACAGAGAAGCCAGAGGCGGAATAGATAAAGGAGGCTAATCAGAGATCCGAAGGCACAGGGGTGGACAGGCAGCCCCCAAGCCCCTCCGCCCTGCACCTAGCTCCCGCCCCCAGCAGCCCTTCTAGCCGGCAAGAGCCCCCCACCCCTCCCAGCCTATGCACCCCCTTCTTCCCTCCTACCCGCCTACTCCCAGCGCCCCCTCTCCTAGCCTGCGCCCCCACGCCCTGCTCCAGGCCCCCCCACCCAGTCTGCGTCCGCCCCCTCTCCCCGGTGGCCTCCCTCCCCTCCAAGCCCTCTCCATCCCTCCAGTGCCCCCCTCCCTCCAGTCCCTGTTGCTTCCCTCCCCCCAGCCCCCCACCCCCCACCCTTCCGAACACGGCAGGGTTTTCTGGCGCCTTTGTGGCCGGCCCCGAAGTGCGCGGTGACAATGGCGGGGTGACGGGGGTTAATTCGCGCGCGGAGGTAGGACGCGCGGGCGCCGGCCCGAACAATGCGGGCGGCGCGCCTTTGAGGGCGGCCATTGTGCGCTGTGTGAAACGCGAAATCTGTTCCTCTGCGCGCCCAGATGCGGGCGGCCGGCGGGGAGTGGGGGGCGAGCCGGGGGCGGGGGGCTGCGCGTTTGAATGGGCTTTAACCCCCTCCCGTCCTCTCTGCGTCCTTGAACTCGAGCTGGGGAAGGGGTGGGGGTAGGGCGGTGGGAGCAGGGGAGGAGGGGAGGGCAGGAGGTCAAGGTTCTCCTCCGCTCGCCCTGATGTGCTGTGTGACCTAGGCCAAGTGCCTGGACTTCTCTGAGCCCCACCTCCCCACCTGATAACCAGAGGGTGGACCCGGCGCCGGGCGTTCAAACCTGTGGCTCACGCCTGTAATCCCAGCACTTTGGGAGGCCGAGGTGGGAGGATGGCTTGAGCCCAGGAGTTTGAGACCAGCCTGGGCAACATAGTGAGACCCCCTTATGTACAAGTACAACAGCAAAATCGCTTCTCGGCCTTTTGGCTAAGATCAAGTGAAGAACAACAGCAAAACAGCTGAGCATAGTGGCAAGCACTGTAGTCCCCTACTTGGGAGGCTGAGGTAGGAGGATTACTTTGAGCCCAGGAGTTCAAGACCAGCCTGCGAAACATAGTGAGACCCCCTTCTCATATATTAAAAAAGAAAAGCCAATATATATGTATAATATGCATGTATGTATGTATGTATGTGTGTATGTATATATGTGTGTGTGTGTGTATATATATGTGTGTGTATATATATGTATATATATAAAACGCTTGCCGGGTGCGGTGGCTCACACCTCTAACCCCAGCACTTTGGGAGGCTGAGGCGGGCGGATCACTTGAGGTCAGGAGCTTAAGACCAGCCTGGCCAACATGGTGAAACCCCATCTCTACTAAAAAATACAAAAATTAGCCAGGCATGGTGGCACGTGCCTGTAGTCCCAGCTACTCGTAAGACTGAGGCAGGAGAATCGCTTGAACCCGGGAGGTGGAGGTTTCAGTGAGCCAGGATGGTGCCATTGCACTCCAGCCTGGGCTGCAGAGCAAGACTCCGTCTCAAAAAAAAAAAAAAAAAAAAAAAAAAAAAAAAAAAAAGCTCAAAACCAGAGGACTGGAAGGGGTCTCACAGATGACTCGGAGAGAGGCTGGCCTCAAGGTCACACAAAGTCATCCCTGGCAGCACAGTGCTGGTCTGTGGGTTCTGGGGCGCTCAATGAGGCCAGGCTGGGACCCCTAACCTGTCCTTTCACATAGAAACACTGAGACAGGCTCCGCAGGTTAGGCTGTGCGACCTTAGAAGAGAGTCAGTCCCCTACCTTCTCAGTTTCCTCTCTGTGCAGTGGAGAACATTACATTAGCTGCCTTAGGAGGCCATTGTGAGCAGTAAATGGGTCAACCATCTAGTGGGGCCTATGCATATAGGTAAACATAATGCATAATAATAACATTTACTGAGCCCTTACTATGTGCCGGGAACTATTCTAATCTTCTGATATATATTTTATGATATTTAAGCATTTGCTGAATGTTTATAATGTATCAAACATTTATGGAACTCCATTATTTACTGGCTTTATCACTTAATCTCATAATGCCTCTGTTTGCACATCTATAAAATGGAGACACACAGAGCACCATGAATTCCTTTCCTTCCCTTCCAGATGCCTCGATGCTGGGCTCTGGCAGGTGTGGCCCCTTTTCTCTTCTCCCATCCACCCTTGTCCCTGGGAGTCCCTGGCAAGGTGGCTCCCATCCAGCCCTCTGTGATGCATTCCTCCTTGGAGAATTTCCCCGGGTAACACGACCCAGCCCAGGTTCCCTCCTGCTTTTCCTCTCAGTTACTGCTGACTGAACCCCTAATAACTGAGAAATGGGGCCCTCTGAGGATAGGGTGAGAGGATCCCTTTTGGGGCACCTCATGCCTTGCATTGGAGAGCATGTATATCTCTGCTGGTGTTTTTGCTCACATTCCCCTATGGTGTGTGAGACGGAGGTGATTCTTCTAGAATCGCAGCCAAAGAAATTGAAGCTCAGAGAAGCTAATTTGAAGATGCTTAACCTCATCTGGGGTTACGTTCCTCTTTAAGCCTTATGTAAGCTCCAGACCCTCTCCCCAGAAAAATACTTGTCTACATTCAGAACATTTTGTTTGCAGCCTCAGGAGGTTCCCATATCCACCCCAGCACCCCTGAAGCCCAGATTAGAACCTCGTTGGTAGCAGAAAGGATCCAAAGCTGGAATGCAGGCTCCGCTTTGCTGTGGGCTCTCGGTATACAGCAAATTTGTCGTTCTCCTTTAGCAAGCTTCTAAGTCAGGCTCTTTTTTTTTTTTTTTTTTGAGATGGAGTCTTACTCTGTTGGCCCCCAGGCTGGAGTGATCTCGGCTCACTGCAACCTTCGCCTCCGGGGTTCAAGTGATTCTCCTGCCTCAGCCTCCCAAGTAGCTGGGATTACTGGCACACATCGCCACACTTGGCTAATTTTTTTTTGCTCTTTTTTTTTTTTCAGTAGAGACAGGGTTTTGCCATGTTGACTAGGCTGGTCTCAAACTCCTGGCTTCAAGTGATCCACCTGCCTCGGCCTCCCAAAGTGCTGAGATTATAGACGTGAGCCACTGCACCCGGCCCTAAGTCGGGCTCCTAAACATCCATGGCATTCAGAATCAGGGTGTTAAAAGTCAGATACCCAGCGCCCACACCAGGGTTTGATATTGGGTTGCTATGAAATCTGTCTGGGTCAGACATTTGTGTGTTTCATGTGCCACCGCAGTTGTGTTGACACAGGTGGCCCATGAGGTGTGTTTTGAGAAACCCTCGTCCAGGATGTTACCACTGGCTTCTTGTCCATCGTCCTCACTTCTGGCTTCTTCTCCTTTTCCTTGCCCTGTTTTGACATCCTGCCCTTCGTTCTAGTCTAGTTTACGTCCTCTGAAAACCCGCTTCCCAAAAGAAAGGCAAAGCCAAGTCTCTGGGCTCCCTGAACAGTGCTGTCTCTTCCAAGCAGAGAGTGGGGGGGCTCTGGAAAGCCCTGAACTCTAGGAGCAAGGAAACAGCCGTGGCCAGCAGGTGCCTACAGGGCCCCACGTGCCGGGATGGGCACAGATGGAGGGGCTCTGGGCTGGGGGCAAGGGGCAGATGCAGCCACCCCTGGGGCCTCAGCCCTCTTGTTATCTCCTCATTGTCCCCTGTCTCCCCAGCCCACCCCCTCCTCAGTTGCCCTTCTGTCAACTCCATAGGGTCCCCCTCGGCCAGCAGCCCAGCCCTGGAACTCCAGAGGGAGCTTGCAAGAGGGTCCCCACAGATTTCCCTGCTCTGGGGGTGAGCAGAAGGGTGGGGGTGGGAAAGAGGGAGCCTGGGTGGAGAGGCCAGGGATTAGGGGGGGTGTCAGAGTCTATAAATCACGCCCCACTGTGCTCCTGTTTAACATACACTTCTCCAACGAGTTGTCAGTGAAACCGTTAATTAATTAGCTAATCCTGCAATGAAGTGGATTCTAAATGGTTCTCCCCCTCGCAGCCTCCCATTTAGATAATTGCTGCTGAGGGGTCTTTTGTGAGAGTCATTTTTTTCCAATAGGGATGGGCCTGGAACACTGAGGGAGATGGATTTAAAGAAGGGGTCAGCGTGCCGTCCCCAAAGCTCCTGGGACAGGGAGACTCTTCTCTTGGCCCAGGAAAAACTGGAAAAGGGGGGTGATTGGGGCAGGACAAGGGGTAGACAGGGGGTACTGAGCTTTGGCATTTGGCAGTTTGTTTTTGATTGAGATGCTTTGCAATTCAATGAAAGTATTCTTGGCCAGTGTCCTGAGACAGGTAACAATGTTGATGCTGCTGCTGCTGCTGCTGCTGCTGCTGCTGATGATGATGATGATGATGATAGCCACCAGATAGGAAGTGCTAACTATAGCCCAGGACCCAGGTACATGTGTCATATTCATGATCTCATTCACCCTCTTCACAACAACCAATAAGTAGGTGGGATTATGGACACTGGGGAAACTTAGATCCAAATGGGGAAGTGGCTTGCCCAAGGTCACAGAGGTGGCAGAACCTGGAATGAAACAAAGGTGTCTGAGCCTGGGGTTCACACTTTTAAAAATTATGGGATTTTATGGGAGTATCTACTCCTATGCCAGAAAGGACACTGAAGCCATTGAAAAGGAGTGTGGCCAGCTTGAATCACACAGGAAATGTAAGGATTATTTGATGCATGAATGAATGGATGGATGAATGAATGAATGAATGAGTGGATCCCAAACCTTGTGACTTATGACTCAAGGTCCAGTAACTTGGCTGATCCTCTGTTGATGCTGACTTGGCATAATGAAGAAAGCACATGCACATCCCCAAGTGGGAACTAGTGACTTTTACCTGCCCAATATCCCTTCTCCTTTGTGGTGCCTCATCCTCACCTGGTCTCAGTCCATATGTTTCCAATGGGGCTGACCCTTCCCTGAAGCTCCAAGGGAGAGACATTGCCCAACTGTGACCAATCAGAGTATATTTTCTACCACAAGCTCTGTCCCCAGGCATAATGGATTATCCAGGGATGGACATGTGATCCAAGCCAGGACAATGAGACTCTAGTCTAGGCTTTTTGCTGGAACTATCAGCAACAACAACAACAACAAAATTGAGTGTTCTCAATTCCTGGGATTGCTAAACTAATGTAATGTCAGTTGCAGCTTCTGGTAGCCATTTGTTGTTATTGTTTGTTGTTGTTGTTTTATTTTATTTTATTTTAAAATAGAGATGGGGCCTCCCTATGTTGCCCAGGCTGGCCTTGAACTTGTAAGCTCAAGTGATCCTCCAGCCTTGGCCTCCCAAAGTGCTGGAATTATAGTGCTGGGTTCATACCCAGCCTGTGAGCCATTTTGCCACCAAGAATGGAACCACACAGAGTAACCACTATATCTAGCAACACTGAACCCCTGGATCCAGCTATGCCTGAAGCCTGCATACACCTAGAGTTGTTTTCCAATTACATAAGTTTTAATGGGTATGGCAGATGCTGCTGGTCACCGATCAGAATTCATTTTCCCTTTCCAATGCTATTGGCATTTCATATAGCAATGCAGCTCTCTGAAACACTTGTTTGTACTTTTTTGTAGCTCTGAGTGGCCATGTGACCCAGTTCTCAGCAATGACTCCTTGGGAGAAATGTCATTCCCAAATAAAAAGACAAGACCCCAAAAGAAAGCTCTTTGCCCTTTTGCTCTTTTGCCCTTTTCCTGCCTGAATTACAAATGCAATGCCTATCTTTGGATTTCTTAATACCTATGAAAAGTAAACGCTTTGCTTATTTAAGCTACTATATTTGCATTTCAAGGAAATACAATTCTAACTGACAGAGTGGGGTTCCTGTTTTTGCAACTGAAAAACTCTTGCCTGATATGCCTTCTCCAAGAGATGTAAGGAATGTGAAGGAAGAAATTGGTAGGATGAGGAGAAATTGCTTTGACTTCTCTATTTGCTCCAAGATGATCACCTACCTTGTTCACTCATCTCTGTTACCTAGCAAAGATAGCAATCTGGAAGGACCATAAATTGTAGGTAGATGGAGAAGAAAATTGGCCTTTAGCAAGGACTGGCTCCAGGCAATATTTCAAAATAGGAAAGGTGGAAAGGCTGTAGAAGAAACATGTCATATCTCCATCTACACCAGGTACAAGAGCCTGCCATCTAAGCAACTCTCAGCACAACTTATCGGTCCTGTGTCCTACTTTCTAAAGGACCCATCATCAATCAACTGTCGGCCACTTCGTTAAATTGCTCAGCACCTCCATGCTACTGAGGGCTCATGGGTCCAGGGGAACCAGGCCTCACTGCATTTAAGGAGACCTGGCCTGTGATGGAGCCAGGTGAAACTGCTGATCTTCAAGTACTATTCCAGGGACAGGTGCCAGAGCCTGACTTTAATCCAGAACTGGACTAGTCAGTCCCAGGAGAACCTGGGACAGAGCTGGTTGCACTGGGATCAAGTGTGAGGAAGGTAGACTGATTGGCTTCAGCCTCCTCAGAGATTCTGCAAGATTCTGCAAGAGACCTAGGCTGAGACCAGATGCAGATTCTGCAAGAGACCTAAGATTGAATCTTAGACCCTTGGAGCAAGAGAATTTTAAAAACTAGCTCAAGAGACATTTAGAACTGTATTATTTTAGAAGACTCAACAATAACATCTTAAAATTATAGAATTCAGCTGGGCGTGGTGGCTCATGCCTGTAATCCCAGCACTTTGGGAGGCAAAGGTGGGCGGATCACGAGGTCAAAAGATAGAGACCATCCTGGCCAACATGGTGAAAACCCGTCTCTACTAAAAATACAAAAAATAGCTGGGTGTAGTGGCACGTGCCTGTAGTCCCAGCTACTTGGGAGGCTGAGGCAGGAGATTCGCTTGAACATGGGAGGCAGAGGTTGCAGTGAACAGAGATCGCACCACTGCACTCCATCCTGGGCGACAGAGCGAGACTCCATATCTAAAATATATAGATATATTTCTATAATATTAAACCAGTAAATTCTAAAATTCTAGCTTTATAGGAGACTTAGAACCACAGAATTTTAGAACTGGAGAAAGCTTTAAAAATGAAACTCCTTTTAACCTTCAGTTTTAAAGAGAAAATTTTAAAACCTTAGTTTTAACTAAGTAATTTTAAACTACTAATTTAATTAAAACCTAAGTAAATCTTTAGAATTAAAAAATTCTAGAATAGTAAGCTAATTAATTTTGTAAGTACTAGATATAGGGTGCCTCATGTCCTTGAAATTTCAGAATTATATTAAGAACAGGGAACCACAGAATTTTAGAATATTAAACTAATGGAATATTAGAATAAAATGTACAGAGTGTGAGAATTACCGAATTTTAAAATCTTAGAATTACAGACTTGTAAATCCCCAAGATGTTAAACTCAAGAGGACTCTAGAGCTCATTCTGTCTTTCTTCCAAATGTAGCAGTTACTTCTCCAGGATCCCAAAATGGAATTGCCAACTGAAGGCATAACTGCAACTAGGCTGGCACTGAATAGATGTTAAATAAGTATAAGCAAATAAGAATTTTTTAAATGTAGAATCACTAGAAGGAAAAAAAAATCCAATATATAACTTCCAAAACAGTAAAAGGAAATCAATGATCTCAATCAATTCAACAGAAAGCAGAGAAGGGAAAAGGGGAAGAGAAAATAAAAAGTATAGTAATCAGAAACACACACACATACACCACAGTATAATAAAGTATAGTAATCAAAAAATAAGAAATAAAATGACAGAAATAATTATAACCACATAACTTACAATAAATGTAAAGGGTCTAAATTTATCCATTAAAAGATTGAGATTCTCAAGTCAGTTAAAATACAAAATTAGCTATATATTGTTTAAAGAAATGACAGAAAGCTTACAACTAAAAGGGTAAAATGAGGTACAAGGCAAATACTAACAAAAACAAGCTGATATACAGCCATATTAATAACATACACAATGGAATTTAAGGAGAATGACATTAAAAAGGGTAAGTGTCCAGTGGATGTTTGGTGAACGAATGAATGCTTATTGCCATCCAGAAATGCGAGCTCACTACCAACTTGAGTCAGCTTATTGTGTTGCTGTAGTAAATTCTATCATGCCCCCATCTTATTCTCCAGAACGTGTAAATACATGGCAAAAGGAATTTTGCAGATATAATTAAAGTTTCACCCTTAAGAAAGGGAGATTATTCTGGATTACCCAAATGGTAGGTATAATCTAATTATATGACAAATTAAGAGCAGAGAAGTTTCTC
This sequence comes from Homo sapiens, assembly GCF_000001405.40. NCBI lineage: Eukaryota > Metazoa > Chordata > Mammalia > Primates > Hominidae > Homo > Homo sapiens. The sequence continues at coordinate 113,630,373 of NC_000012.12, read as the reverse complement.
TAGCTGGAGTCAGGGAGATGTGGCAAAAAAAGAAATCAAATTTGTCTCCACCTGCCTGAGCATAGTGATGCATGAGAAAAATGCCACCTGCTTTTGTGGTGGAGGGGATGAGGGGAGCACATGGAAAGCATGGGAAGGAATGTGGGCAACCTCTAGGAGCAAATACAATCCTTCAGTGAACAGCCACCAGGGAAATGAGGACCTCACTCCTACAATGGCAAGGAACTGCATTTGTCCAACTACATTAATGGACTCCCCCCTAGAGCCTCCAGGAAGGAATGTAGCACTGATGATACCTTGATTCTGGCCTTGTGAAACCCTAAGCAGAGGACGAGTAAAGGCCATCTGAACTATGACCTACAGAACTATGAGAAAATCTATTTGTGTCATTTTATGCCACTACATTTATGGTAATTTGTTAGGCCAGCAAAAGAAAATGAATATAGTTGCTATCATTGTCAGGAAGTTCTGTTTGCTGGAACAAATATACCTCCCAGCCATCACTATCTTTGAACCCACTTTTGCTCTCTTAGAATACCCATGATTCCCACTCACTCACCCACCCACTTGGAGCTTTTTGAACATTTTAAGTCAATGATCACAGCCCTCTAGGACTCTTTTCTCCTCCCCAGCAATTTATAAGGATCAGTTTCCAAACAGTTCTCCAAGCTGAAATGCTCCCATATGCACTCTCTGACCCTTGCCATCACAGGGCATTGCTTCCTAGCCAGTTCCTCAAGAACAGCTTATATGATGACTGTCCTCAGCTCAAACTTTTTCAGTGACTCCCTATGGCTCTCAGATGAAAGGCCCCCAGTTCTTTAGCTCTGCATTCAAGGCTTTGCCCCACCTGCTTTTCTGTCTTCAGTTTCTACTCCTCCAGCTGTCTCTCCAACAAGCCGATAGTTTTCATATACCTACACTTTTGCAAGTGATATTTATCCTGCCTGAAATGCCTTCCCCAACCCCTTTCTTCTAAAGCAGTCGACATCCTATGTCTTTTTCAAAGCCTAGCTCAGATACCACCCTCCCCTTGGTCACTCCATCTAGGATGAATCTGCTAGACTTGGTATCTGGGACACAGTAGGCATTTCAAATACTTGCTGAATGAATGGCAAACTCATCACTGCATCCTTTACTTGTACACTTTTCATGTTTGTCATGGTTTAGCAGGGCATTCTGCCCTGCATTTTTACTCTCATTTGCACTCTGGGATCCAGGCCCCTGGGCAAGCACTATCTGAAATATTGCTAGCAACTATGATAGAGGAAAAATAGAATATTGCAAAATGTGTACTGCCTCTGAGGTCTTTTGCCTGGAAGTGAGCCATTGCTTCTGTTCACATTTCACTGGTTGAAGCAATGACCACTCTTGGGTTCAATGGGGCAGGAAAGTGCAACCCTACCATGCATATCCCTGGACAAAGAGAAGGAATCAAATATTTATGAACAATCCTGATGACTACTCCACATATTTACTCTTCTTTCAGATTTTAGCTCAAGTATTGCCTTCCCAAAGAAGCCATCCCTGACCTCCTCAACCAAGTCAAACCCTCCTGTTGTTGGTGCTCATGGCATCATGTTTCTCACCTCTATGACACTTTGCCACAGCTAGAATTTCTCATTTACTTGTATAATTGCTTGAGCAACTTCCCTCTTGAAACCATAAGCTCCATGATGGCAGTGATTATTACCTCCTCAGTCCATGGCTTGATGCCTGGTATGCAGTGGCACCTAATAAATAGGAAGGAATAAGTAAGTGAACAAAGAATGAAAGACACCTCTCCATTTCCCCTCCTATTCATCTGACATCATCTCTCCTACCTCATTCTGTGACTACTCTTTCTGATGTGCTGTCCTATTAGAAAACCTTGGAGGGTACATTAGTGACATGGGAGAATTCTCTGCAGCCCCTCCTGGCTCACTGCTTTCTCCACTTCCCTCAGAGATGTGCTAGGCTGCACTAGGAGCCAGGAGCTGTGAATTCCAGCCAGATGGAATTGGGAAAGTCCCTCTCATCTCAGAGCCTCTGTTTCCACATCCACAAAATGAGAAGTAATCTCACTAGTTATGACTCCAAAAGCAATCCCAGCATAGCTATAGAAATGTAGATGATTTGTTTTCTTACTGCCATTCATTGGGCTGTGGCTATGTGCTGGGTGTCATCCCCAAATCCAACATGGTAGGAGTGACTGGTAGCACCATTGTTCACATGAGGAATTGAATTAAGAGACTTGCCTAAGATCACACAGGTAGCAAGTGGCCCATTCAGGACTCCAATGAGCTTGTTGACTCCAAAACTCCATCTTCTTCTGCCACTAACCCCCAACAGTCTCCCTTTTGCTTCTTTGAGAAGCAGCACAATGAGTGGAAAAATACAGGAACTTGATAGGCCATGTGTGAATCCTACTTCTTGACTTCACTGTGTGACCTTGGGGAAGTGGCCTGACCTCCTAGTACCTCAGCTTCCTTCACTGTAAAATGGGGATAGTGACAGTACTCACTCATGAAGTTGCTGGGAAGATTAAATGAATTAATACACACAAGGTCTTAAAAACAGTGGCTGGCACATAGTTCACACTTGGTAAATGTTCCCCCTTGTTATTATTACATCACTCTCTATCCCACCTCCACCCGGCAGCCTGCCACAATACTGTCTCAAGTTCTCCCTTGCCAGATCAGTCCCAATGGCAATCAATGTAGACTTGGTTTTTTGGTTCTAAACCTTCATTGAAATTGAATTATACAGGGTGAACTCCTGTTTCTGGCTTCTTTATCTTGGCGTAATGTTTTTGAGATTAATCCATTTTGTATGTGATATAGTTTGGATATTTGTCTCCTCCCAAATCTCAATATGAATTGTAGTCCCCCATGCTGGAGCTGGGGCCTGGTGGAATGTATTTGGATCATGGGTGTGGATCCCTCATGGTTTGGTGCTGTCTTCCTGATAGTGAGTTATCGTGACATCTGGTAATTTCAAAGTGACCCACCCTCGCTTGCTCCTACTTTCACCATGTGACGTGCCTGCTCACTGCTCACCTTCTGCCATGACTGTAAGCTTCCTGAGGCCTCCCTAGAAGCCAAGCAGATGCCAGCACTGTGCTTCCTGTACAACCTGCAGAACCATGAGCTAATTAAACCTCTTTTCTTTGTAAATTATCCAGTCTCAGGTATTTCTTTATAGCAATGTAAGAACAGCCTAATACAACATGCATCAGTAGTTTATTCATTTTTATTACTATATATTATTACTATATTACTATTATATATTTACTATAGTATAATAGGTATTACACTATATTCTATATGTTATACTATATAATATAATATATATTGTAGTGCAATATATACATTATATATATTGTATTAATCTGTTTTCATACTGCTGATAAAGTCAATTTACAAAAGAAAGAGGTTTAATGGACTCACAGTTTCATGTGGCTGGGGAGGCCTCACAATCACGACACAGAAGGTAAAAGTCACATCTTGCATGGTGGCAAACAAGAGAAGAGGATGAGAACCAAGTGAAAGGGGTTTCCCCTTATGAAACCATCAGATCTCGTGAGACTTATTCACTACCACGAGAACAGTATGGGAGAACTGCCCCCATGATTCAATTACCTCTCACCAGGCCCTCCCACAACACATGGGAATTAAGGGAGCTACAATTCAAGATGAGATTTGGGTGGGGACACAGTCAAACCATATCATGTATTATGCAGTAATAACTATATTATACAATAATACCATAATATATAATATATACTTATTTATATATAATATTATATTATAACTATATAGCATTCCATCAACAATTTGCTGTTTTATCCCCCTGTTAGTGGAATTTGGGCTACTATAAATATTTTTGTACATGTTTTAAGCAAATAAGCATTCATTTCTCTTGGATATCGACCCAGGAGTTGAATTGTTGGACCAGAGAGCAGATGCACATGAACACCTCTCTAACACATACACTCACCTCCCTTCAGTAATGATGCTGCCAGTCCCAGCCCCAAAATCATGGCAGACAGCAGAGTATTTAACTATAATATCCATTTCTATTTTATTTTCAAAATCTCCTTATATTTATGGCAAGAGATGCTGGTAAGTCTGTAAAGTTTCTTCTGAAAGTAAATTTTAATTTTAAAGTGGATTGTACACAAACATAGTCAACTGATTTTCTACAATGGTACAGGCAATTCAATGAAGAAGGGATCATTTGTTTCAACAAATAATGCTAGAACAATTGAGCATCCAAATGCTAAAAATAAATACATGAATCAATAATAACAAGAAGAGGCAAGACACAGACCTTATATAATTCACAAAAATTAACTCAAAATGGGGCCAGGCATGGTGGCTCAGGCCTGTAATCCCAGCACTTTGGGAAGCTGAGATGGGTGGATTACTTGAGCCCAGAAATTTGAGACCAGACTGGGCAACATAGTGTTGCCCAGTGTAGAGACACCTGTCTCTACAAAAATAGAAAAATTAGCCAGGCAGGGTGACGCTCACCTTTAGTCTCAGGAGGCTGTACTCAGGAGGCTGAGGTGGGAGGATCACTTGAGCCTGGGGAAGTCAAGACTGCAGTGAGCCATGATCATGCCTGTACCGTAGCCTGGGTGACAGAGTGAGACCCCATCTGAAAAAAAAAAGGAAAAAAAGACTAAAGGCAAAAGGAACTGTATGCAAGCACAGTACTCTAGTTGATAAGCTTGTTTCCCACAAGCATATGGGTTAACAATTCTGAAACCACTATACATGTATACCAGAATTAAACAATTAAGTAAATGGAAGGCAGATGGTAGGAGCCAGAATTCTCATTGTTGGAGTGAAAAGTTTCAGATAAGCAAAGAGAGGAGGCTAAATGATCCAAGTATTATACATTAGCATTGGTGACATCAGTGTGAACTCATGTTCAGCTTAATATAGATACTGATAGATGCATATAAAAATAGAGAGAGATTCCAGGCACAGTGGCTCACGCCTGTAATCCCAGCACTTTGGGAGGCCAAAGCAGGAGGATCACTTGAGTCTGGGAGTTCAAGACCATTCTGGGAAACATGATAAGACCCCATCTCTAAAAAAAAATTAAAAAAATTAGCCAGGTGTATTATTATACACCTGGTGGTGCATGCCTGTAGTCCCAGCTACTCAGGAGTCTGAGGTGGGAGGATCATTTAAGCCCAGAAGGTTGAGGTTGCAATGAGCTACGATCACACCACTACACTCTAGCCTCAGCCACAGAGTAAGACCCTGTCTCAAAAAAAAAAAAAAAGAGAGAGAGAGAGATGTATGCATGCCTACATTTCGTTGCTCTGTCAGCCAACAGGGCCTTGACACAACACCCCAGAAGCAATGAGCACACTTTAGTGCCCAGATCTTGGTTTAGTACTATTCCAATAAAAGGAACCAGGATTCCTTGGAGAAATGGATCGTTCTGGGGTTGGGGAAGGAAATATAAAAAATGAGCTTTGAGCATCTTGTCATACCAGAAAGTAATAAAGTGCTCAAACACAGACACACACAGACACACAGACACACACACACACACACACACACACACACACACAGAGAGAGAATAATGAGAACATGTCAAAGGGATACAGTATCCAACTGAAAGAGCTTCCAATGGCCAAACCTGAAACAATTTGAGCAACAAAATTAATAGAGTAGAATTGGATTATAACTCAAAGTATAAAATAAATATCCATGCTTTCATACTGATATAAACAAATAACTGATTGAATAATAAGTTAATGGGTGAGAATAGGCAAATCTCCATGCAAAAAAAAAAATTCCAAACAATTTATGTGGATATTCAGCCCTCAAGGAAGTGAAGCATAACTCCTTGCTTCTTTTTGTTTTGTTTTTTTTCTGACACAGGGTCTTGCTCTGTTGCCTGGGCTAGAGTTCAGTGGCGTGATCATAGCTCATGGAAGCCTCAACCTCCCAGGCTCAAGAGATCCTCCTGCCTCAGCCTCCAGAGGAGCTGGAACTACAGGCGCATACCACCATGCCCAGTTGATTTAAAAAAAAATTTTTTTTAGACATGGGGTCGCACTATATTGTCCAGGCTGGTCTTAAACTTCTGAGCTCGAAAGATTATCTTGCCTCAGCCTCCCAAAGTGCTGGGATTACAGATTCTAGCCACTATGCCCAGCCAACTCCCCGCTTCTTTAGAGTAGCCTGCACATAGTGACTTCTTTTCAAAGAATACTGTATGGAAACAGTGGCAAAAGAGTAACTTTACAGTGGAGAAACCTGACAAACACAACCTCAGGCAGGTGATCAAGGTTAGTGCCAACAATGGCACATCACGATGATAGTGGACATACCCTTGATATGATGTCATGAGAATGGCGGTCCAGCTCTGTGGTCTTCCTCCTTGAAGCCCATAGCCCTGGTCTAGTCATTAGAAAAACATCAGACAAACCCTAATTGAGGGACATTCTACCAGATACCTGAGCAGTACTTTTCAAAACTGTCAAGGCCATCAAAAATAAGGAAAGCCTGAGAAACTGTCACAGCCAAGAGGAGCCTCAGGAGACTTGAGAACTAAATGTAATGTGGGATCCTGGATAGATCCTGGGACAGAAAAAGAACATTGGGTAAAAACTGGGGCAATCTCAGTGAAGTACGGACTTTAGTTAATGATGACAATGTTTCAACATTGTTTCATTAGTTGTAACAAATGAACCATTTAAGATGTTAATAACAAGGGAAACTGAGTGGGGTTATATAGGAAGTCTCTATACTTTCTTCACAATCTTTCTAAGTCTAAAACTATCCTAAAATTATAAATTTATTTTTTGAAAAAGAGAATGGATGTACAAATGTCCTGATGGACACAGAGAAATCAATAAACAAACTGGTGGTATATCCATACAGCAGAATACTACTGCTCCATAAAAAGGAATGGGCCGGACATGGTGACTTATGCCCATAATCCCAGCACTTTGGAAGGCAGAGGCAGCAGGATCACTTGAGGCCAGGAGTTCGAGATCAGCCTGGGCAACATAGTGAGACCCCCATCTCTACACAAATTTTTTTTTAAAATTAGCTGGGCATGATGGTGTGCACCTGTAGTCCCAGCGATTCAGGAGGCTGAGACAGGAGGATTGCTTGAGCCCAGGAATTGGAGGCTACAGTGAGCTATGATTGCACCACGTACTTCAGCTTGGGCAACAGAGTAAGACCATCTCTAAGTAATAATAATAAAATTTTAAAATAAATTTAAAATGAATAAAAAGAAATGAACTATTGATGGGATGAACAATGATGAACATTGATGATTCTCCAAAGCATTATGCTGAGTTTCTTTCACTTATAGACAGACCAAAAAAAAAAAGAGTATGATTCCTTTTATATAAAACCTTAGAAAATGCACACACTCATCTGTAGTGACAGAAAGCAGACCAGTGGCTGCCTGGGGATGGAAGAGAGGAATGAGAGGGAGGAATTACAAAGAAGAAACTTTTGCAGGTGATGGATATGTTTGTTGCGTTGATTGTGATGATGGCTTCATGGTTGTATAATACATCAAAACTTACTCAGCTGTACACGTTAAATAAGCACGATTTATTCTGTGTCAATTACACCTCCGTAAGGTCGTTTTTAAAAGCAAGTGTCTATAAAGAGGCATATTCAGGGAATAGTGGTACATATGGCCTGAGTCTATGGGGAACTGTCAGGGTGGCCCCTGATGAGTCAGTCTAGGGAAAAACCTGCCCTCATTCAGAAGACCCACTCCCTGCTCGCGAGTACCTCTGGTGGTTAATTCCTCTTCCCCGGGGGAGTCCCTGGGAAACCAGGCCTCATTAGTTGAGGGCCCGGCCTCGTGGAACTTCATATTTGTTAAAGATTAATGGGGTGTCTCCTTTGCAAGAGCTGAAGGGTCTCCTGGCCTCGTTTCTTCCAAATCAGCCCCCTGCCATGACTCATCATTGGTTGCAGAGGAGCCGGCCGCGGCCGAAGAGAGCTGAAGGAAGGGGGCTTGGTGGGAACTAATGGGCCTCTTCCAGCTTCCCTGCAGGCCTCCAGTTTTCCTCTACAGACCAGAGAGGGAGAGGAGCTGATGGGCGGAGAGTCCCTGTTTTTGTTTTTTTGTGTGTGTTTTGTTTTTTGGTTGTTTTGTTTTGTTTTGTTTTGTTTTGTTGAGACGGTCTCACTCTGTCACTCAGGCTAGAGTGCAGTGGCACAAACACAGCTCACTGCAGCCTCAACTTCTTGGGCTCAAGCGATCCTGCCACCTCAGCCTCCTTAGTAGCTGGGACTACAGGTGCACGCCACCATACCCAGCTAATTTTTGTATTTTTTGTAGAGACAGGGTTTCACCATGTTACCCAGGCTTCCCAAAGTGCTAGGAATACAGGCATGTGCCACCACGCCCAGTCCCTGGTTCTTTTTTTAACACCGCTCAGAACTCAACCATCCAAAGCAGTTGTTTCCCCCTTCAAAGTGTTTATCCCAAGGGTGCTGCCATGTTGCAGGACATTGGGAATGACTACTTGGTTGATGGCATCATCAGAGAGAAGCAGAATTTTCTTTGGCACATCTCCCAATGACACAGCGGGACTTCCTCTGAACGATGGATTCCATTTCTGGAAATAGCCATAGATCAATAGCGCCAAAATGCCTGCACCTTGGCCTTCACAGCTGAGCATATCTGTAATTATTTGTTTAATGACTGTGAGCTCCATGAAGACTGAGTCCTTGTCTGGTTTTGTTTGCCTGTATTCCTAGTATCTCACACTGCCTGGCATATAGTTAGTGTCCAGTAATTGCTTGCCAACTGAATAGATGAATGGATCATCTCTCTATGCATTCAAAATCTATGTGGCAGCTGACAGCTCTCTCCAAGTCCATTGCCATCACCACCACCCTGGTGCAGGCCCGCCCCCCATGGTGTCTCACCTCTATGCCAGGGACAGCCCCTCAACAAGCCTGCCTGCCTCCTGTTTGTCCACACATACGTGGAGCAGCCAGAGAGCTTTGCAAACTGAAACTAGATTGCATAATTTCACCAACTCAAAACCAACCAGTGGCTTCCATCACACTCAGAATGGAATCCACACTCCCTTCCCTGGCCTGTAGGGCTTTACCTGGTCCAGCCACCTGTCACCCTCACCTGTATCCCTCCACCCCTGCCTAGTCTTACACCCTCTCCTTCTGCTCACTCCTCTCCAGCCAATCTGGGCTTCTCACTGCTCCTCCACTGCCCAGAGCATATTCCTGCCTCAGGGGTTTCCCTGGCTGTTCCCTCTGCCTGGAGCTCCCTCCCCCAGAATGTCTGATTTCAAGCTCATAATCCCCCTTCAAGGCCCTTACGCAGGTTTCCTTCTCTCTGAAACCCTCTTCCGTAGACCAATGCAATTTTGATGTGATATTTTTAAAAGTCAAAATGAAAAACAAAAAAAAAAATTATGATGACCCATGTGTCCAGCAACAGGTAAACAGATAAACAAAATATGGTCCCTATCCATGCAAAAGAAAATGACTCAGCCATAAAAAGGAAGGAAGCACTGACAAGTGCTACCACATGGATGAACTTCGAAGACATTACGCTCAGAAGCCAGACGCAAAGAGACCACAGATTGCATTTGTATGACTGCACAATAGACAAATCTGCAGAGACAGAGGCAGATTAGCAATTGTCAGGGGAGAGGGAAGGAGGACTGGGGAGTGACTGCTGAATGGATAAGGGGTTCCTTTTTGGGTGATGAAAATGGTCTGCAGTGAGATAGCGGTGATGGTTGCACAACATTGCGAATGCACTAGATGCCACTGAATTGTTCGCCTTGAAATGGTCAGAATGGATTTTATGTTATTTACACTTTAAAAATCTATGATGAACAAGATATCCACATTTTAAATAAAGACAGGGCCTGTAACAGTGCCAGGCTGAGCCATACAGAGCCTGAGAGGGAAAAAAAGTCAATTGTACTGGCTGAGCTCACATAACCCGTCTTCCAGGAGGTCTTTCTTCACCACCCTTGCAAGCTAGCAGCACCCCCTTCATCACCCTGTTTTGTTTTCTTCACCTTCTCGAATGGCCTTGTTGATTTATTTGCTCACTGCTTTTTTGTTGTTGTTGTCGAGAAAGAGTCTCACTCTGTCGCGGCTGGAATTCAGTGGCACGATCTCGGCTCACTGCAACCTCTGCCTCCTGGGTTCAAGCAATTCTCCTGCCTCAGCCTCCTAAGTAGCTGGTATTACAGGCACCCACCACCACTCCCAGCAAATTTTTGTATTTTTAGTAGAGAAGGGGTTTCCCTCTGTCATGTTGGCAAGCTAGTCTTGAACTCCTGACCTCAGGTGATCCACCTACCTCAGCCTCCCAAAGTGCTGGGATTATAGGCATGAGCCGCTGCGTCTGGCCTCTAACCGCTGTATTATGTCAGCTTCAGGAGGGCAAGAAATCATGCTGGTCAGGTTGGTCATATGCACTGCTGTTTCTCCAGCACCCAGCCCTCCCTGACACAAAATGGGTGCTCAAAAAAAACCTGAATGTATGTATGTATGGTTGGATGGATGGATGGGTGGATGGATGGACGGATGAATATGAACTGGAATAAACTGGCTTCCTGAATCTTGGAGGATGGATGGGAGAGAGACCAGAAGAGAGGAAAAGAACTCCCCAAACACACTCAAAGTCAAGAAATAATTGAAGCCCCTCTCCTACATCCCAGAATCCCAGCACTAGAGGAATTCTGGTTAAAGATGCTGTCCCAGAAAACCAGAGAAGCCTTCTCTCTCCCCACAGATCTTCTTGGGACTTTGTGTTGGGAGGAGGTCTCAACTCTGTGCCCCGGAGCCTGGTTGGTGGCCATGGGGACAGGGAACTGTCAGAGGAGCTGATGAAAAACAGGCTTTGCTCTAGGGGCTCCAGCACAGCCCAAGAAACCAGAAAATTAGTGATGTTTGCTGAGCAAACATTGCCGGGTGTGGAGAAGCTGCTGGCGGAGTGTTTAACACATAGCTTGTATTTGCTGGCAAATATCCCCACCCTGCCAGGCCCCTCTGATGGGGCTGCTGGTGCACAGAGGATGGGGGAGATCAGGGAGAGCTGTAAGGGTTCCCAGGAGAGGTTCCTGCAGGGGCAAGGAGAGAGGGAGGAAAGGGAGCTCCACAAAGATTCGCCCTGTCTTAAGGGGCCCGAGAAGGCTGGGAGGACACTAGGGGCCTGATCTGAAGGCATGGGGAGAGTCCACTCACTCGCCCCTACCCCAGCCAAGCCAGCCTGGGGTCCACGTAACCTTAGCAGGTCAGAGAGATAGGACCCTTCAAAGGCAAACACCCACTTTCTTGCTGTGCGATGGTGGACAGGTTACAGAGTGTCTCTGAGCCTTGGCCTCATCATATGTAAATAATAAAACAGCTGATATTTCTAAAGCATCTACTACGGGCGCTAACTTCTCTGTGCCTCAGTTCCCCCATCTGTAAAATGGGGACAATATTAGTGTTGCCCTTACATTTTTGGTTTTCCTTTTTATTAAAAAATTTTTAAAACCTATAAAAAAGTTGCAAGATCCATGAACACTTGTATATTCTTATCTGTATTCCCCAATTGCTAATATGTTGACACATATGTCTCCATATGAATTCATCTATCTGCATACCTATCTACTTCATTTTGTTGAGCCATTCGCAAGTTGTAGCCTTGTACCATCTCACCATGAAGTTCTTAGGGTGCATTTCCTAATCACAACATCACCCCCATGTAATTATCCAATTCAGGGACTTTGACTTTGCCACGATTCTCTTATCTAACATACATGTCATACGTTTTGTGAGAAATAAATGAGTAATATTTTAAAGCCCTGAGGACAGTGCCAGGCACAGTGTAAGTGCTCAGTAAATATCTTTTTTTTTTTTTTTTTTGAGACAGGATCTTATTTTGTTGCCCAGGCTGGAATGCAGTGGCACAAACAGTGCTCACTACAGCCTCGACCGCCTGGGCTCCAGCAATCCTCCCACCCCAGCCTCATGAGTAGCTAAGACTACAGGTGCACAGCACCACACCTGGCTAATTTTTAAAATTTTTTAGAAAAGGGGTCTCACTATGTTGCCCAGGCTGGCCTTGATCTTCTGGGCTCAAGTGATCCTCCTGCTTCAGCCTCCCAAAATGCTGGGATTATGGGTGTGAGCCACTATGCCTGGCCCAGTATTATGAATTTTTAAATCAGTGCTGTTATGTTGTTACTGTTGCTGCTATTGTCACTTGGAGCAGAGGGGTCATCACCGTTACGGCCTGTGACCTGGGCTGGCACAGGCCCCTCCCACTCCAGGCCCTGCCCCATTGCTGTCTCCTGGAGTCTGGTCACAGTGAAGGCCCGGAGGACAGATGTCAGCAGATGGATTCCAGCACTTGAGAAGATCTTCCGGGAGTCCAAGGTTTGGCCTTTCAGGGACCACGGGGCTTCCTGTACAGAGCCTCAGGTCTCATCTTCCAAATAGACCCCTAAACTACCCACGACCAGGGTGAAAAGGGAGGAGCTCAATTCTGGGAAGGTACCAATGCTGTATGAAGACCAGGCACACCAGAGATGTGGGGCCAGGGAAGGACTGAGCCAGCCCTGCTGCCAGGATGCTGTGTTAATCCTGGGGCTGGACTTCAGCCTCCTCTTCTGCAAGATGGCAGGTGGGCAGAGGATAAACAGGTTCCTGAGTTCACTTCTCTCCTTCTGGAGTCCCTTCCAGATCATAGATCCACTGCATGCCTGAGACAGCAAATGCTCCTAGAACAGGGGGGAACTATGCAGCCCCATCAGAACCCCCTCCAAATCTGCATTGCACCTCCCGCCATGTTCCTGAAAGCCCCTTCCTCCTCCTGCCCCCTTACCTGAAAGAAGGGCCCAGCCCCGGGGACAGGCATCTGGAGGTGCCTCAGCTTCCTGCCTTCACTGTGCCTACCTCCATGTATGTATCCAAGAGCCTACCCAAACCCCAATGCTTTTAATACCCATTGCCTGGTTTCATTAAAACTGTGGCTTAGTTTCTTTTAGAAATTCATTCATTCATTCATTCACTCAAAAAATATTTCTTGGGCACCTACAATGAACCAAGCCCTGTACCAGGCATTAGAATACAAGACAGACAAAGTATGTGTCCTCATTAAGATGATGTTCTAGTTGGGGGTGGAGGACAATGGATCAAACACAATAATAATAATAATAATAATAATAATAATTGTTAACACTTCTATACTGCTTACTCCATACCAGGCAGTGTTCTGAGCACTTTACATACATCATCTCACTTAATCAGTATTACAATCTCATGAGATGGGTACTAGTATGACCATTTTACAGATAAGAAAAATGTGACACAGAGAGGTTAAGAAACTGCCCAAAGTCACACAGAAAATGAGGGAGGTCCCTGCAGATAGTGCTGAGGGCTACAAAGGAAGTGGAAAGGGGATGTTCTAGGAAGTGACTGGCTGGGAGATGACTTTGGATTCACTGATCTGAGAGGATGACATTTGAGCAGAGACTCACATGATGTGAAGGAGCCAGCAATGATCTCAGAGGACAGTGTTCAAGGCAGAAGGAACCACAGGACAAAGACCCCACAGCGGGAGGAAGCTTGGGGCATGCAAGGAACAGAATGAAGGCCGGCGAGGGGGCCTTCCTTCTGCAAGAGAGGTACAGAGAGGACAGAGATGCTCTCAGCAGCTGGGCTGACTTCTTGCATCCCCATCATTCCCCCTTCTCCATCCCCTCGCTGCCCTGTGCCCATCAGTTTAGGGGACCACCTTGTGCTCAGCCTCTCTCCCCAGATGCTGCCACCAGCAGCCATGCAGGACTTGGGTGTCCTTGACCAGTTGCTGCCATAGTTTGTATTCTTTATCACCAGCAGCCTTCTGGCTCCTCCCAGAGCTCCATCCACCAGCCCAGAGGTGACCTCAAAGAAACCATAAGACCTCTAAGCCATATGTAGAAGACAGCCTCAGTCCCCACGGAGGGATGGCCCCTGCTCCACCTTTACACAGAGACCTCAAGTTTTCAGGAGGCTCTGGACCCAGTTCTTTTCTAGGAAAGCAGCTTCACCAATGGATGCTCAAGTCAAATTTTAGGAGCCTGGTTCTTCCCAAGCCCTTGAAAGGAAAGGAGAGAAGGAAGTCAGAGAAAAATCTGATGGGGTAGGCAAGTTATTCTCCCACTCTGGAGAGGAATGATACTCATGGGACAACCAGGTGGCAGTAAGAAGTGGCCCAGGAGCCAGACATCCAGGTATCAGTGCTGCTCTCTGAGCCACAGTTTCTCCTCTATCACTGTGAAGCAAAGACTGGATCATCCCAGGCCTGATTTTCTTTTTCTTTTTTTTTTCTCTCCATAGGTTTTTGGGAAACAGGTGGTATTTGGTAACAGGAATAAGTTCTTTAGTGGTGATTTGTGAGATTTTGGTGCACCCATCACCCGAGCGGTATACACTGAACCCAATTTGTAGCCTTTTATCCCTCACCCCCTTCCCACCCTTTCCCCTTTAGTTCCAAAAGTCCATTGTATCATTCTTATGTCTCTGTATCCTCATAGCTTAGCTCACACTTACGAGTGAAAACATACAATGTTGGGTTTTCCGTTCCTGAGTTACTTCCCTTAGAATAATAGTCTCCAATCACATCCAGGTTGCTGCAAATGCCATTAATTCGTCCCTTTTCATGGCTGAGTAGTATTCCACCATATACATATATATATATATATATATATATATATATATATATATATATATATATATATATATACACACACACCAGTTTCTTTATGCACTCATTGATTGATGGGCATTTGGGCTGGTTCCATATTTTTGCAATTACTAATTGTGATGCTATGAGTGTGTGTGCAAGTATCTTTTTCATGTAATGACTTCTTTTCCTCTGGGTAGATACCCAGTAGTGGGATTGCTGGATCAAATGGTAGATCTACTTCTAGTTCTTTAAGGAATCTCCACACTGTTTTCCATAGTGGTTGTACTAGTTTACATTCCCACCAGCAATGTAGACGTGTTCCCTTTTCACCACATCTATGCCAGCATCTATTTTTTTTAAATTTTTTGATGATGGCCATTCTTGCGGGAGTAAGACATTGTGATTTTGATGTATATTTCCCTGATCATTTAGTGATGTTGAGCATTTTTTTAAATGTTTGTTGCCAGGCCTGATTTTCTATGAGTCCATGATTTGTGCATTTGCTCCCGGGCTCAACAATTCAGTGTTGAAAATTTCCTCACACTGTATTTTCTTCTGCTCCCCAAATCCCCTCCCAACTCCCTATGCTTGGGACTTTTCCCAAAAACCTGGTTATTTATAAGCCTGCAGGAAGATCAAGACCATCATACAGCTAATTTTTAAAAATTATTGAGCACATGTTAAGTATTTTGTTTCCATTATCTCCTTTAATCCTCCCAATACCAAGATGAGGAAAAATGTTCTCTTTCAACCCCTTGCTAACTTCACATACATTTATTGAGGCCAGGCACAGTGGCTCATGCCTGTAACCCCAGCATTTTGGGAGACCAAGGTGGGCGGATCTCTTGAGGTCAGGAGTTCAAGACTAGCTTGGGCAACATAGCAAGTCCTCATCTCTACAAAAAATAAACAAAAATGAGCTGGGCGTGGTGGCACACACCTATAGTCTTAGCTACTCCAAAGGCTGAGGTGGGAGAATTGCTTGAACCCAGGAGGTTGAGGCCGCAGTGAGCTATTATTGCACCACTGCACTCCAGCCTGAGCAACAGAGCAAGACCCTGCCTCAAAAACAAACAAACAAAAAACATTTATTGAGCACCTATGGCATGCCAGACACTATGGTTAGGCAGTGAATGTTCCCAGATCATGCCCTCAAGAACGCATAAACAGAGAGTTGTAACTCAATTTGACAAGTGAGGGGAAAGGTCCCATGGGCTCTAGGTTCAGACAGGGCTGACACCCCAGCAGGCTCCAGCATCTACTGATTATGTGACCTTGGGCAAGAAATGATGGGTCTTGGAGCCTCAGTTTCCTTGACTTTCAATTGGGAGGAATCATATGTCCCCCTTCTTGGAATGGTTGTGAGGATTCCATGAGATAACACATGTAGCATAGTAAGTGCTCAATAAATTTTATTATGGTTGCTGAAAGGGAGCTAAAACAATTTTTTCTGGGCTGGGCACAGTGGCCAGACCTGAAATCTCAGCACTTTGGGAGGCCAAGGCAGGAGGATCATTTGAGGCTAGGAGTTTAAGGGCAGCCTAGGCAACATAGCCAGACCCCATCTCTACCAAAAAAAAAAAAAAAAGTGTTTTGTTTTGTTTTGGTTTTAATTAGCCAGATGTGGTGGTGCATAACTTTAGTCCCAGTCACTTGGGAGGCTGGGCTGGGAGAGTTGCTTGAGCCCAGGAGGTTGAGGCTGCAGTGAACTGTGATCACATCACTGCACTCCAACCTGGGTAGCAGAGAGACTCTATCTCTAAAAAAATAAAAAATTAAAATTAAAAAATTTATCTTTTCTCTCATTCAATGGGTTTTATGCAGGGGACACAGATTCAGGAGGTGGATGAAAGCAAAGAAAGCCATCAGTGTTGATCTCTGTCCATCCTAGACCCTTATTGGTTTGGTGACCCCAAGAAGCAAGAAGGAGGGACCTGGGTAGGGATGTACCTGTCCTCTATGCCCAGCAGTAGAATTACTGGGACATGAAGTATCTGTAGACTTAATCTGACCAGGTCATGCCAGAATGTGCTATGCAGCTGCGTGCCTGTGTCCCCATGTCCTCACCAACACTTTGTATTTCTCAGCTTTCTGATCTGTGCCAATCTCATAGGTAGCTCTGCAATTAAGTTATAGGAGTCTTTTTTATATTTAAGTCTATCAACTAACTTAGGAACAGTCTAAGGATCAAAGGGAAGAAATCTTGTTAGAAAATGGGAGATGCAAGAGGGAAGTGCAAGTCCTCAAAGGGAGGCTTTCTGAGGAACCCCGATTCATAGAGAAGTGCAGGAACCCGTGGAGGCTGAAGCTGCCTTCTTGCCCACCATCTGCTCCTGAGTTGATGGTTCTCTGGAAAGGGAAGAATGCCTGTAACTGAGTTCGTTCCATCTCCCTCTCCCAGAGGCTGGCACACAGTAGGCATTCGTGGTTTGCTATTGAATGAACACATGGGCATGGAACGAGGCCACAATCTTGCAATCTAGAATATAAGCTCCAGACAGGGGAATGCAGCAAACTCCACTTTCCTGATCTGAAAACACAATCTCCCAGGGTCCCCTGGAAGGCTGTTTTTCAGGGAGAAGAGTGGAAAGTGCCTATTGATTTTCCTTTATCACAAAGTGATAAATTTGCTGATTGACATCATGTAGCAATGACAAGCACACAGGAGTGTGTGGGCCCCGAGCAAACAGAGAATATTCTGCAAGCAGGCAGTGAGCTGCAGCCAGCTCGAGCTGGTTCCCAAGAGCCGACCAGCACATGTACAGGAATTTGGCAAGCTGGGTGTTCAACCACCCATTAAAAATTAACTAAAATAAGCTTACAATTAAATCAATCATATTAAAGCAAAGGTAATAAGCACTCCAAACTCACCATGTCCTGATTATTTGTCTACGTTTTACTATTATCTATGCTTCTGAGGTCATTTCTATCTGTCATTTCTGGGTGGTAGAACTACTCTATAACGGTATGCTACTGCCTATCTCTTCCAAACTCTATCTGGTGATGTCAGGTGGGAATATTTACACTGAAGAAATTGACAAACTCTACAAATCAGAGCTTCTTTGTAGAGCCGGTTGTTAAACATCTTACCAACACACCACTGCCTAAAGCCCTTGTGGTGGCTGGAGACACACTGTCCTTTTTGTCTGCCTAGCTAAAAGCACAGAGAGGGAAAGAACCCTTGATTTATTTGTGATGGGGCCAGGTGTGGGAGACAGGAACAAGGTAGAGAATAAAATGCCATACTCGTGCCCCACAGCAGCCAGGAGGGAGATGCAAGCTACACCGGCTTCCAAAGCGTCCATCCATCCGTCCTCCTCCACCCCTACTGAGAAAGGCCAGACATTATCCCTGCTGAATCTCCACCGTCTTCTCCTAACCACTCTAACCGCCCCACCTCTGGCCGACAGTTTGCTGCAGGAGAATGAGACAGCGTTTTTCGTCCTGAGAATGACTCCAGATAATTGGGGCTCCTACTTGCTATTTCTCTGCCTTCTATTTTGCCCGAAAAAATGCCTCGCAGTAATTGCCCATCCTCTGGCATGGAGAGGGAGCCAGCCCTTCTGCCGTTCAAACTCCCAATTGGGCTATTACCGCCCCGGCCCACTTTCCCTTAAATGGCCCTTCGTCGATTTGTCGACATTTTGAAGAAGAGAAACTCATCTTTCTCAGCCTCAGACAGAAAGAAGAGAGGATGGGAAAGCTCGTTTTATCTTTCTAGGATGCGAGTCGGTGAGATTGCTTCTCTCGCGCGCGCTCTCACTTTTTATGTTTTCAATAAAAAGCTGAGCTAATTTGTTGTTCCCATTTCATAGATAGGGAAGCCAAGGCTGGTAATTGACTATAGACTTACTCCCCTAATGAAAGTAGGATTGGAGGCAGAACCACTTTCAGTGATTAACAGGCACTTAGACATTCTCACCTTGAAGGCTCCTCCCTACATCATTAAGAAACCCACTAAAAGCACAACACACCCATTTCCTACAGCTGGTTTTGCTGTAAAAAATGTTTGAAAGAACTTTTCACATTTTCCTTTTGTAATTTGGTTGTAAGGAACTCACTGAATCGATGGTTTGGTAGGATGGCTCAGCCATCCCACAGACGCTGGTAGAGTGAGAAAATCAACTCAAACTAAAGAGGGACTTTGTTTAGGAATATAAATGGGTGATAACGACTATTTTTTAAAGAGAAAGACAAAAACTTAGGAAGATGGTAACTTCTTGCAAGGAGGGAGGGCGTTAGAATCGGAGTGTGCAGTCAGTGGAAGTTACTAGCACGTTCTAGTGTTGGGATGGGTGGCTGGTTCACAGGTATTCATTAGGTTATTAGGAAGGAGGGAAGTAAGGTGAGAGGGAGGGAGACGGAAGCAGGTTATGAATGGAAAGAAAAAGAAAACCTGCCCCACAAATTGTTTTTATATGCAATGAAATTTTTATGAATGTCAAATTGAACAATTAGTGCAGTTGACATAAAATACGTTGTGTAGGCTTGCAATCCGGCACTTATTAATTTTGATTGGGGGTTTTCTTTTCCTCATTTTGCAGCCAACCCTTTTCCTCCAGGTCTCAAACCTTTCCCTGGTTGCTGAAAAGCCCCAGCGAGGGCCCCGGACCCAGCGCCTCTGGTACCCCGGGGATGCTTCGCTGGAATGCACCCAGGAGGTGTCGGGGATTTTGACGGAGACTGGAGGCCCCTGTATCCTCTCCTTGCACGGACTTTTCTCTGGGACCCCCCTGCCCCTTTCAGGAATGCTGACAAAGCCCACACCAGGTCTCCGATGTCTCTATCCCTCCTGTCACAACCACATAGACACACCTTCAGACATTTTCTCCTTCCACACGCTCGTGCTGGCATCAGTGCCTTTCTTCTCCAAGCAAGGCAAAGCTCAGACCAAGGGGGTGCAGTCTGAAGCCACGGGTCTCCCCTGGCCTGGCTTTGGGGTCTGGTCCCGGAGAAGCCCCCTCTTCTCCTCCCTCTTCCCCTTCCCCTCCCCCTGATTCTTCAGAGCTTCCCCCATCGGTGAAAGAAATACTTTGCGAGGATGTTGAGTCTTTGTTGGGGAGGACGAGGACGAAGCATAAAGGGTCTGAAAAAGTGAAATGGGGTGTGTGGGGTGGAGAGAGGGAGGGGGCAGCGAGGGGAAGAGGACGGATTCTCCGTATCTAAAAGGGAATTAAAGTGCTTTTGCTGGAGTGAAGAAATCAGCTGAAGAATGGCCCGAGAACAAAAGCAGAAAGTCTGTGGACAAGCCCGGCTGAATAGGGCCCGATCCCCTTAAGTTTGTAAGCCCCCCTCCCCCGCGCTTTAAGCCTTCCTTACTTACTTCTGCTGAGAACAAACGCCAGGGAGGAAAACACAGCCAGGGGAGGGGAAGAGGGGAATGGCAAAACTAGGGGAGAAAAACCTAAAATAAAAGGTAATCCCTCCGGCACTTTGCCCTCCTAGAGCCTACCAGGGATCTGATTAAAGGTCCCAGATGAAGCCATTCCGCTATTCACATGCAAGAAGCAGGATTTACAAGAAAAGAGAGAGGGAAGAATAGGCGGAGAGGAGAAAAGGGGAATTATTTGTGTCCCTTAATGCTTGTTAAGCACTCCTCTTTGCTACACACCAGACAAGACAAGGCTCAGAACTCACAGAAAAATCTTGGGCAACCCTCCCCCCAGCCCCCTCGGCCTCCGCCCAGCCCGAGGCCAAACTGACCTACAGACACACAGACACACGGACACACACACACAGGCACACACACACGGCAGTGGGCAAAGCTGCTGGGCCAAGCCAGACTCAGAAAGAGAATAGCAATTAACCTCCGTCCCTGGCTGACAGTGATCTAATCAAACCAGCCCTCCTGGGCTCTCCTGATGCTCAGAGCTTGTGGACCAGGCTGCAACCTGTTTGGGATAGGCCTGGAGAGAAAGTGAGGATCCGGAAGTCCTAAGGGATGGTTGTGGCTTTCTGATGATGCTGAAGAAGCTGGTGGAGAAGTTGTTCAAAGATGCTCTACTGTGTCCTGCCTCAGGACCCTTGCTCATGCCAGGCCTCTGCCTGGGATGCGCTTCCCCACCCTCCCGGCACAGTTAACTTGCAGCTCTGACTGGGGAAGTCTTCCTCAAGCAACCCTCCTTCTCCCACAGACCACCTCACACTTCCTTGTTCTTGGCCTTCCAAAGACACTGGAACTTGGTAATTTACAATAAATGTGTGAAACATTATCATTTATAATTCATAAGGTATAAATACATTTATAAATAAATGTGTAAACACATTACGTATGAATCACTTACACATTTATTTCTTGTTGCACTTGTTCAGTGCTTATCTCCCCCACTAGAATATCAGAGACAGAAAAAAAGGAGACAGTGGCTACTTCTGCCTACGATGGGATCCCAGGGTCTGGGATCCCAGCACCCCCATGCTAAAGACTGGTGCTGGTCTCTGCATTGAGACGCTGCTCTATGAATTCTTGCTCAATGAATGAATGAAGGAAGGAAGGAAGGAAGGAAGGAATGAATGAACAGGGAATTGGGTCAGAAGGGACCAACTTATCCATTAGGCACAGGAAGCACAGTGCTTAGGGCTCACAATACTTCAAGGGGTCCGTATAAATGTTTTAATGTTAATTGAATGTTTTAATGTCAATTTCTTTTAAATCAAAAGAAAACATGAATATAATAATAATGTGTATATATATTAATGAATCTAGACTGGATTATGTTCATGTTTATACCTACACAGTCATAAAATATAATTTTTAATTTTTTTATGGAAAAAAGAACCCATGAATGTCATAATGTGACCCTAGGTCAGAAAGGGGAATTGGCCAAAGATAAGGGGAATGGAAGTCCGGGGCCTTCTTTCCTCCATACTGGGAGGGGCAATTCAAGATCACATGGGTTTCTTTCATTCATCTATTTATTCATTCAAAAAGCATTAGATGCTGGGCACAGTGGCTCACACCTGTATTCCTAGCAGTTTGGGAGGCTGAGACTGGAGGATCACTTGAGGCCAAGAGTTCGAGACCAGCCTAGGCAACATAGTGAGACCCCCCCATCTCTACAAAACATTTAAAAATTAACTGGGCATGGTGGCATGCACCTGTAGTCCCAGCTACTTGGGAGGCTGAGGAGGGAGGAGGCGTTGAGCCCAGGAGGTTGAGGCTGCAAGTGAACTGTGATCATACCACTGCACTCCAGCCTGGGTGACAGAGCAATCCCCGTCTCAAAAAAAAA
Source organism: Homo sapiens (assembly GCF_000001405.40). Classification (NCBI taxonomy): domain Eukaryota; kingdom Metazoa; phylum Chordata; class Mammalia; order Primates; family Hominidae; genus Homo; species Homo sapiens. Next base: position 113,608,456 of record NC_000012.12, on the reverse strand, counting down.
CAAATAAAGACGTGATCACATACTGGGGTCAGTGCTCTGAAAATCTCATGTCCTCTGAAACCTCCAACAGTGAGATGAGACACTGAAACTGAGACCTGAAGGAGGTGCAGGGATTTGCCAAGAGACGAGAGAAAGAAGGTTGTATAGGTTGGAGGCAACTGCAAGTATGAAAGCCTTGGGGTTGGAAGGAATGTGGCTTACGGGTGGGGCTGCAGCCTCCTGAGAGAGGGGTTGAGGAGGGATGTGGGCAGTGGGCAGAGCAGCGTGTGGGAGAGCTTTTGTATGTGTCAGGGAAGGCGAGGTTATGCTACAGTAACAAACAGCCCCAGCAGTTTGTTTCTCACTCAGTCTTGTTTTTTTTTTTTTTTTGTTTTGTTTTTTGAGACAGAGTTTCGCTCTGTCGCCCAGGCTGGAGTGCAGTGGCGCGATCTCGACTCACTGCAAGCTCCGCCTCCCGGGTTCACGCCATTCTCCTGCCTCAGCCTCCCGTGTAGCTGGGACTACAGGCGTGCGCCACCATGCCCGGCTAATTTTTGTATTTTTAGTAGAGACGGGGTTTCACCGTGTTAGCCAGGATGGTCTCGATCTCCTGACCTCGTGATCCGCCCGTCTCGGCCTCCCAAAGTGCTGGGATTACAGGCGTGAGCCACCGCGCCCGGCCTCAGTCTTGTTTTACTGTGGGTTCTCAAGGAGGCTTTGACTGTAGGGGGTCACTTGAGGACCCAGGTGTTTGGAGGCATCATCTGGGCCCAACTTTCCATGACTGCAAAGGTAAGTATTCATAAAGACTCAGCCTAGATATCACAGTGTGATCTTTTTGACTGGCCTCCTTCAAGTGGTCACAGAAGCTCATTCCTGCCACATGCCTGGAAGGCAGAGAACAAAGCATTCGGAAACAGCCCTAATGACCACCACAGATGACTCCCAAAACTATGATGGCACATAGAAAACTTTCCAAATTAAAATGATGGCCATGAATGCTGTCCTCAATCCACTGGTGTTCCATAAAGTATTCTAGGCAAACCTCCTCCTCACACACCATCAGTCTATTTTAGCACCCCTGCTAGAATGGATCCTTCTTTCTCATTTCAAAACAGATTCTCAAGATACCAAAACACAAGAAGAGCTGCTCTGAGTGTCCTTTTAATGAGCTTCTTTTCTTTTGAGACTGACTCTCACTCTGTCACTCTGGCTGGCGTGCAGGGGCACAAACATGGCTCACTGCAGCCTCGAACTCCTGGGCTCAAGTGATCCTCCCACCTCAGTCCCCTGAGTAGTTAGCACTACAGGTGTGCATTACCATGGCCAGCTCATCTTTTTCTTTTTTCTTTTTTTAAATAGAGATAGGGTCTTTTTATGTTGCCCAGGTTGGTCTTGAACTCCTGGCCTCAAGTTATCTTTTTTTTTTTTTTTTTTTTTGACATGGAGTCTCGCTCTGTCACCCAGGCTGGAGTGCAGTGGCGCGATCTTGGCTCACTGTAACCCCTGCCTCCCGGGTTCAAGCAATTCTCCTGCCTCAGCCTCCCAAGGAGCTGGGATTACAGGCATGCGCTACCACACCCAGCTAATTTTTGTATTTTTAGTAGAGATGAGGTTTCACCATGTTGGCCAGCCTGGTCTCGAATTCCTGACCTCAACTGATCAGCCCACCTCGGCCTCCCAAAGTGCTGGGATTACAGGCGTGAGCCACCATGCTTGGCCTCAAGTGATCTTCTCACCTCAGTCTTTTAAACACAAATCCAATTAAAGTATCTCTTGGCCTCAAGATTTTCAGTAGATCCCTGTTGCCATCACACCTTGGCCTCAAAGCCCTGTGGATCTGGCCCCTGTCTACCTTTCCGGGGTTAGTCTCACACTTGTCCCCCATCCTTTAAGCCCCATTCACAGCTGCTCTTCTGTTCCTGGAAGATGCCTTCGTCCCTTTTCCTGGACTCATTTGCAACCAATGCCTTCTGCCTAGAAGAAGAGCCACCTAGTTAACTCTTCCTCCACATCGATGCTCAAACATGCCTCAGCCTTCTTGAACACACACGGCCCCACCCTCACTGGGATATTGGGTCCCCTTGTTATTATATAATCTCTAGTTATTCCCTGTACTTTTTCCTTCTACGTTTTATCACAGCTTGTAATTATATGCTTATGGGAATATTTTTTGAATCTGTCTCTCCCCCTTGCTCATAAACTCCTAGGGCAGGGGCTGGCTCTTTTGTTTCCTGCTGTATTCCTAGATCCTCGTGCAGACCTGACACATCACAGGTGCTCAAAGAATATTAATGCAAGCATGAACGAACAAATGCTTCATTCTTTCCAGGTGTAGCACTTGGAAAAGCACCCCTTTCTTAGTGATACAACCTCAGTTTCTTGCTGAAAGCACAATGCAGCCACTCTGGTCTCTCTATATGAACTTCATTTATTAGATTTAAAGTCCTTTTTTTGAAGTTCTCATTTTTATTTATATTTCATTTTATTTTTGAGACAGAGTCTCTCTCTGTCGCCCCGGCTGGAGTGCAGTGGCACGATCTCGGTTCACTGCAGCCTCCACTTCCCGGGTTCAAGCAATTCTCCTGCCTCAGCCTACCAAGTAAATGGGACTACAGGCACCTGCCACCACACCCGGCTAATTTTTGTATTTTCAGTAGAGATGGGGTTTTGCCATGTTGGCCAGGCTGGTCTCAAACTCTCAACCCCAAGCGGTCCACCTGCCTTGGCCTCCCAAAGGGCTGGGATTACAGGCATGAGCCACTTTGCCTGGCCCAAGGTTCTCATTTTTAAATTTCCATTGTATTGGATGCCCAGCACAGGAGGGAATGGGTGATGCCCTGGTTAGGATGCATACGTGGTACACTGGCCACTAGCACGAGGTCTTCATGCATGTGATACCTCCCACCCCCAAACAAGTCTTAAGAATTTTCTTGGGGCCTCATTTTCTTCATATGAAGAATAAGGCCAACAATACTTAGCTTGCTTACTTGGAAGAAATCAATAAGTGGGAGGCTGGACATAGTGGCTCACACCTGTAATCTCAGTACCTTGGGAGTCCAAGGTGGGGTGATTGCTTGGGCTGGGAGTTCGAGACCAACCTGAGCAATATAGCGAGACACCCCACCCCCCGCCCCATCTCTGCAAAAAGATAAACAAAAATTAGCCAGGCATGGTGACACATGCCTGTAGTCCCAGCCCTTTGGGAGGCCAAGGCAGGTGGACCACTTGGGATTGAGAGTTTGAGACTAGCCTGGCCAACATGGCAAAACCCCATCTCTACTGAAAATACAAAAATTAGCTGGGTGTGGTGGCAGGTGCCTGTAGTCCCATTTACTTGGGAGGCTGAGGCAGGAGAATCACTTGAGCCCGGGAATTTGAGGCTGTGGTGAACTATGATGGTGCCACTGCACTACAGCCTGGGCAGCAGAGATGCTGTGTCCAAAAATATAAAATAATAAAATAAAATATAAATAGTTGTTGATCATAAGGTAGGGAAGGATGGTGGCAAGAGAGATCATAGGTGTTTAGGAGCCTGGCAGATCTGAGTTTGAATCCCAGCCTCATCACTTACCAGCTGTGTGAGCTTGCACAAGTGATTTCATCTCTCTGAGCCTCAGTTTCCTTATCTGTAAAATGGGTACAGTAAGAGTGCCTGAGAATTCACAATACCACATGTAAAGCATCAAGTATATATAGCAAGAGCTTGATAAGTGGCAACTAGTAAGACTGCAAATATTAAAATAAAATTTAAGAGGAAAAATTGTCTCAGGTCCATCTGAGCTTGGGTATCTGTGATAAAAAGAACAGGAGCTGTGTGTTATTGATCACTACCACTATCTATATACCAGGGATCGTGTTATTTGTGTACTATGCATTTCGCATATTTTCTTCTAGTACAACATGCTTGATTGAGTTGAATCAGTCAATATTTAATGAGAACTGACCATGTACCAGACACTGTTCTAGGTGCCAGGAATATAGCCAAGAACAAGATGAACAAGAAGCCCTGTTTCTCGTCTAGAGAATTCACAGTCTAGAGCCCTATATTCAGGAAGAAACTGAGCTTAGCAATCTCCAACGTATTGATTTTAGATCACTCTTCTCCCACCTTCAACCCAATCAAAAAATGCCCCTCAGTATCATAGAAAGTATGTTGATTTTTGAAACAAAAATTTTAGGGATAGTGGGATAGGGACAGGGATCTATTGTTCAAGCCTCACCAACTCTGCTGCCACTCAAGGCCTTTAGCAAAGGGGAAGGAAAAAGGAAACTGGAATTTGGAAGACAACGGAGTGCATCAAATGGAGGAAGGTGCCTTCCCCACAAACCAAGGAGACACATATGCATGCTCACACACACACAGGCCCACACACACACGCACACACACACACACCTCAATTATACCTTGAGAAGCAAAGCTAATGGAAGCTAGATTGATTCAAAGATAACAATTAGGGAACAATTTTAATTCCTGCTGTGATTGAGACACACAGTTTATTTTTAATTTGTATCCATAATAAAAATAATCATTAAAAGGGCTGGCAAACTGCAGCTTTTGCCAAGAAATTAGATTTACACTGCCCACCTTCACCCCATCAGAAATGCGATCTTCTCTCCTGCCTTCCATCTCTTCTGCCGGCGCAACCCCATCATGACTCGCTCCCGCTCCAAAGCCACAGACCCCATTTTAAATGTAGAGATTCATTAATTAAAGGAGATGGGAAGTGAACTTTTTTTTAGCATCTACTATGTGCTGGGTATGAGGCTAAATACATTCACATCGATTATTTCATTTAACCCTCGTGACAACCCCGTGAAGAGAGAATCCCAGTTTACCCTCATCTTACAGAGGTGGAAACAGATGCATAGCTCTTTGCTGAAGGTTACACAGAGAGAATAGGACAGGGCTGGGTCTGTGACAAGGTCTGGTTGACCAGATTTATTCTTCTAATTGCCTTTCCTGAGTGTAGGTATTAAGCTTTGTCCTCCTTGACAAAAACGCTGCCTCACCCGCAATAGAATTTACCCCAATTTCCACTTAGAGTTGCATTTCCACTCCAAGGCTGAAGTGTGAAGCAAACAGCTGGAAGGAAGGCTTACCAGCATTCAGGTCCTCAGACTTTGGCTGATTCTCTAATATGGTGAGTCAATTGATTATTATAAAATAATTAGGAGAAGGTGGAAGGAAGAGGAAGAGAAGGAAGAAAAGGAGGAATAATAAGAAGAAGAGAAAGAGAAAGGAGAAGGAAGGACAAAGGGAAGAAAGAAGAGAAGGGAAAGAAATGGAGGAGGAAGAAGAGAAGAATAAGAACAGAAAGGAGAAAGAGAAGGAAGAAAGACAAGATGGAGGGGAGGATGGAGAAAATGAGGAAGAGGAGGAAGGAAAGAGCCTCAGTCCAGGCTGCTTTGTTTCCAACATCTCTTCATTGGCATGATGTCCCAGTCTTGCCTGTATTTGCATGCTTAGTTCAGAGTCTTCCTCCCTCAGGAAGACCTCCATAAAGTTAACCCCTAACTGAAAATAGCTGTCTTCCTGATTCCCCATAGCATTTCGTATCTTACCTGTGGTAGTTTATACCTTAGTGCTGTGGTTATTTGTTTAACTGTCTACCTTCCCTACTAAGTGTTACAGCTTTTTAAAAGAATTTATATAACAGGTTTTCAGTTTTCACTAGAAAACCACTCACATGAAAAGGGGAAAAAATCTTCTACTAGGCTTTGAAGTCCCCCAAATTTGGGACCTGTATTTACATCCTCCAAGGTGCCCAGCACCATGCCTCATGCTTTTCCTAGGAAATCTTTTCCTTCTGTCACGGCACCTTCCTCCTTAGCCCATCATGTCCCTTGATCAAACTTCTTGAAAGAGGTGGGAGAAGGTACAGAATCAATTAATAATTAATAGTAATAGATAAATGATGTTGGAACTGGTGGTAGTGATGATGATAATAATAGTAATTACTATTATTTTTCCAGCTGTTGAATGTTCATAGCTGAACTATTGAGGCCATTGACATAATAGTATAAGCGTTATACTCTCTACTCACATGGGTTCATTCAAATCCCATTTCTACCACTTACCAGTTGCATGACCTTGGCCAAGTTCTTTAGCCTTTCTGTGCCTCAATTTCTCATCTGTAACAGGGTTGTTATAGATAATGAGTGAGATATTGCATTTACAGCATTTAAGACAGAGCCTAGGATATAGTAAGGACTCGATAAGTGGAGGTTGCTATCATCATTATTATTAATCATAGCTACCAACTCCACCTCCAGAATAATAGCCACAAATGCCCCTTATTGAGCACTTACTTTACCAGGTACCTTGCTTTGCTTTTTTATAGGCAGGATTTCATTAATCTTCAAGCCAACCAATTATTAACCCATTCTATAAACTTTCCCAGCTCATAAGTGACAGAGCTAGAATAAGATATCAGAATCCAAGAATCCAGATTCTTGCCCTGAGAGGCAAGAAAGAGGAAAGCCAACTGAAGAAGCTTGCACAAAATGACACCAGGAGATCTCTAAAAACTATAGGATTATGTATAGCTCACCTTAGAAGGTCCCCGGTCCTGGCTTGGCTTGGCCTCTGTCCTTGGTGCTGAAAATTGCGCCCATCCCAGACCCTCAATATCACATCTCCATGGAGCCAGGGGGCCCTCACCATCTCTTAGAAGACCATGTCTTTATCCATGGGTGCTGTCAACTAATTTGGACCCAAGGTGCTGGTTGTAGTAACTTCTCAGGATCCCTTGAGTCCTGACCACAGATCCAAGCCCTGCCCCAGCCACCACCAACCACAGAAGTGCCTACCCTGAATTCAGTCCTCCTTAACAATATTCACTAGACAACTGTAAATGTCACAAGCCCCTTACACATACAGAGTATCAAAGGCTGTGTGTTCTCCTGGAATCTCAGCACAGACATGACACCAGATCCCTCCTGGACAAGGCAAAAGTCTCCCTGTTCAAACCAGGGTGTAGAATGTCACCATCACAGATGAAGTAGACATCTGCCCCTTTGGTCTGGCTATAGGGGCAGTAGAAACTTAGTCTTCAGGATCTAGAACTACTTCCCTTTCAGCTCAATAAAGCCTAATGTTCCTTTACCAGGAAACCAAGATCAAGTTTAGGAGGCAAAAGATCAGGCTGGTCTTGTGTCTAGTCTAAGATGTGAATGACTGATAGCTGTCCATTTCTGGAACAGTAGAAAGTGCAGGTGTCTGGAAGTCAGAGAGATCCAGGGTAGTGCCACTTATCACCTTGAACATGCGCACAGAAAGGGCCTGGCCTATGCTTGGTGTAGGATGGTTGATAAGTAAGTCAGTCCCTCTCTCCAGGCCACTTCTTCTCTGTGTAGCCCTCAGTCTGCCCCCTCCTCTCTCCTTATACTCCTTTACAAACACTCTTCTTGCTCACTCAATTGCCTAAAAACGAATGGCCTTTCTGTCCCTCCTAATCAACATCTTTGGAAAGGAGTTATTTCATTGATTACCATCCTGGTGGATAGATTTGTTTGAACAAATAAATTGCCCTTTTTGTAGGTCAAACCCAGTCAAATACAGGCAACTTCATATTACAACAGTAGAAACACGTGCCCCAAGACTTCTCACTTGGCCTTTCTAGAAACAAGAAGTAGATTCATATCTTTGGAGAGGCCACCTTAGCCAATTGTTGGGTGGGGATGGTGAGAGAGAAGAGCTTGCCATCTTATATGAATCATCACAATAAAATTTACAGACAACAAAACCAAGAGCCACTGCCTAACCACCCCCACCTGACACATACACATAGTCCCCGAGGCACAGGCTGGCAATTGAGCCATTTCTTTCTTTCTTTTTTTAGACAGGGTCTGGCTCTGTCACCAAGGCTAGAATGCAATGATGTGATCTTGGCTCACTGCAACCTCTACCTCCCAGGCTCAAGCCATCCTCCCACCTCAGCCTCCCTAGTAGCTGGCACTACAGGTGCTCACCACCACACCCAGCTAATTTTTGTATTTTTTGTAGAGACGGGGTTTTGCCATGTTGCCTAGGCTGGTCTTGAACTGCGGGGCTCAAGCAATCCACCCACCTCAGCCTTCCAAAGTGCTAGGATTACAGGTGTGAGCCACTGCACCCAGCCCAATTGAGCCATTTCTGAAGGAAGAAAAAAATATTCTCCTCAAACCTAGCAACAAATTGGCTTAAACAATCTGCATCATCATCTCCCATCTCCACGGCTAATCATATTGGTAAATGGTTGGGTGTTTTTTTTCCTGTGGCCACTGCCTTGAAGGAGGGGAGATGGAACCAGGGTGGGGGACAGGAAAAAGGAAAATGTTTCGTGATAGATACTGATTCAAGAATGCCTTTGCTCTTCTTGGTTAACTTCCTTGCAGACCCAGAGAATTGGCTTGGTCAGACAGCTCGCCCTGTGTGGCACAAACAAGAAACATTAATTAAAAATAATTGCCACCCCCTCCCCAGAATTAAGAATGTGATGTTCAGATTCATTTTAAGAAAGGCAATTTGATGCCAATAAATTACAATTATAAAAACTTCATTACAGTCAAGAGCAATCTATCCACCATTGTCCTAATTACACATTGTAGGAATAATGAATGCTAATGATTTAATGTACAATAATTACCAGGATTGAAAAATAAAATATAATAATCGTCATTATTATTGTTATCAATAACATAGATTTTTGGCATGGTTAATCTCCACTTGAGGCTGAGATGAAATTTCAGGGTTTTGTGGGGATTTTTTTATCCCCACTTAGAAACACTCCCTTTTCTTCTCCTCCCCCTTCCAGCTCCAACTTTATTAAGACAAGAAATCCACAGCACGGAATAGAAACGTCTTGCTTCTCCTAGAGGGTCAGAGTTGAAGGGTTAAATCCACATCTCCTATCCCCTGTACAGCAGATCACCTTTGGTTTCTTACCAAACATCTTTTTGTGTAGGAAAGAAAGAAAAAGCAATTACTCTGATGTAGAGAACAGGATTACGTCTTCGCCAAAGTCACTTTTTAGTTCCTGTATGAAACCATCCATGGCCTCCTATTGCAAAGGGAAAATATCCAAGCCTGATCTACACAGTGCAGGGCTGTGTCAAGGAGTCAGGGACCGGGAGCCACACTGCCTGGATTTGAGTCCCGATTTTGCCACCTACTAGCTGTAGGGAGCGTGACCGAATCTGTTCCTGTGTCTATGCTTCGGTTTGCTCTCTGTAAAACGGAGCTTGAAATACTGCCTGACTCAGGGTTTCGTAAGTTTAAAAGTGTAAACACTTGTGAAGTGCTCAGAACAGTGCTGACACGTGGTCACTGCCCCAAAACTAGAACCAAGATCTTTCATGAGCTTGGCTGCCTCTATCTTCCCCTTCCCCTCTGTCATACACACCCCGCAATCAAGCCCCAACAGTCAACTCATCATCCTCTGAAGATGGTCTGCACAATCTCAACTCCAGAGCTTTGCTCATGCAGTGCCCTCCACAAGGAGTGCTGTTCATCTCCCAGCTGGGCTTGATCACTCATTCTCTGGGAAGCCACCCCATTGCTCCCAGGCAACGCCAACATTTCCTTCTAGGGCATTGCCACAGCACTTCTGTCGTACTACTTGTACCTCTGCAGATCTTGCTGCTTGTCCTTTCCATTTTGTGTTAGGATTATTTGTTTCTATGTTTTACAACTGTATATACCCAAGTATGTTGCAAACACTTTGGGTTTGTTTTGTTGTTGTTGTTTTTATTTTGTTTGTTTGTTTTTCTTGTTTGTTTGTTTGTTTGTTTTGAGGCAGAGTCTCGCTGTCAGCCAGGCTGGAATGCAGTGGCACGATCTCAGCTCACTGCAACCTCCACCTCCTGGGTTCAAGTGATTCTCCTGCCTCAGCCTCCCTACTAGGGAGGCTACTAGCTGGGATTACAGGTGCACGCCACCATGCTGGGCTAATTTTTAGTAGAGACAGGATTTCACCATGTTGGCCAAGCTGGTCTCCAATTTCTGACCTCGAGTGATCTGCCCACTTGGTCCTCCCAAAGTGCCAGGATTACAGGTGTGAGCCACCATGCCCACCTAACACTTTGAAAGCAAGAATCATATTTTCCCCATCCTTGTATTCCTCTCATCTCCACCTTATACCCCCTAATCAATACTCTATGTCTAGAATGATGCTTCTATATACATTTTTAGAATTTCAGAAATGCAAAGGAAACTCTTCTTTACAACGCTTATTGGTTTGATCCTGATTCTACAAGTAACACATCCTTATTATAGAACAGTTGAAAAATAAAGACAAGTATAAGGAGAAAAAATAAGATAAACTACCTTTCCATAGCCTAAAGACGACCACGCTAAACAAGCTTGTATATTTCTGTCTTATCCTTTACAGAGAATTTTAGACAACTGTCCTGCCATTTATGGACTTTGGTCATAGCAAATAATCTTCACTAGCATTTACCATGTTCGTCACATGCCAAATGCTAAGAATTTTACTAGTGTTATTGTATTTAATCCTGACTGCAACCTGTATAATAGGTGTTACTTGCATCTCCATTGTAAGGATGAGAAAATCAAGGATTAGAGAGGCTAAGCATTTTCCCAACATCACACAGCCATGTGTGGCACAGCCAGGATTCAACACAGGTATCTGCACTCCTAGCTCACATTTTGTCTTTCAGCAGGCATTTCATCATGCGTATTTTTCCCAGGTCATTAAATTATTTTAATAATTTGCCCAGCAATCCATCCTATGCACATATCATCATTATTTCATCCCACCTCTACAATTGGATATTTTGCTTGTATATGATTTTTCACCATAAGAAACAATTCTTTGAAGGCCATCCTTGTTCATAAATCCTTGTCCACATTCTGAATATTTCCTTGGGATACCTTCTGAGAAGTAAAATTCTGCAGCCAGAGGGCATGAACATTTTTATTAATCTGCTTTATTGAGGTATAATTTGCGTAGAATAGAATTAACCAATTCTAAGTGTGCAAGTCAATGAGTTTTGTCAAATTATACACAACCACTACAATCATGAAATAGAAGATTTCCATCACTTGAAAACTGCTTCTTTGGCATCATTCCCTCTCCCACCCCACACCCAACCCCCTTCCAGCCCCCGGCAACCAAGTTTTGCTTTCCATCACTATAGTTTTGCCTTTTTTAGAATTTTATATCAGTGGGATCATACACTATGTAACCTTTCATTCCTGACTAATTTCGCTCAGCATTGTGGTTTTGAAATTCATCTATGGTGTGGTGTACATCGGTAGTAAATTTATTTTTACTCTCGAGTAGCATTCCCTTGTATGTGGAAGTAACACTGCTTGATATCCATTCACTATTTGGTGGACATTTGAATTCTTCCCAGTTTGGAGGTATATTGAGTAAAACCACTGTAAAAAATTCAGCATAGGCCAGGAGCGGTGGCTCATGCCTGTAATCCCAGCACTTTGGCAGGCGGAGGCGGGCGGATCACCTGAGGTCAGTTCAAGACCAGTTCAAGACTGGTCAACATGGTGAAACTCTATCTCTACTAAAAATACAAAAATAGCCGGGCGTGGTGGCAGGCACCTGTAATCCCAGCTACTCAGGAGGCTGAGGCAGGAGAATCACTTGAACCCAAGAGGCAGAGGTTGCAGTAAGCCAAGAACGCACCATTGCACTTCAGCCTGGGTGACAAGAGTGAAACTCCATCTCAAAAATAATAGTAATAATAATAATAATAATAATTCAGTATAAGTCTTTGTGTGAATATCATTTTCATTTTTCTTGAATAACTACCTCAGTGTGGGACTGCTGGATCTGATAAATGTACGTTTAACCTTATAAGAAAAACAGTTTTACTTTTGGTTACTCAGTTTTGTTGTAGTCCTTTAAATAGTGCTGAGTTTTGTTCTAGCAAACAGTTAAGTTACTTAGAACCAATTGTAGCTTTCAAATCTTGTTTTTATGTTTTCTTAGGGCAGTGTCAAAGCAGCAGTCTTTCATCTAGGGATAACTTATCCCCACTCCTACAGCTATACTCTTCTGAGGACCCTACCCCATGGCTGGTCTCTTATGAGGGTTGTCCATGGTCACATGAGCTATCCCAGCCCTATGTGAGATCTAGGAATTGTTCTACCTACTCCTTTTGGTGGTTCTCTCCTTGGCTTCAGGAAGTTACCTCTGGCAAATGCACAGAACCCAGAACCAAGGACATAAGAGCACCTCTCTCCTGATTTCTGGAGTTATCTCCCCAGGAAGGTCTCTACTCTCCAGTTCCCCCATCCCATAAATTCTACCCCCTTGGACTCCTTGAACTCCTAACTCTATCTTGACTTCACTCAGGAAGTTCTCAAGCGCTTTGGGTTTCCCCTCCCTGTGCTATGGCTTGGAAACCCAGAGGTCTCCTCGTTTTCCTTCTTTCAGTGACACAGACCTAGACTGCCTGTTGTTCAGTGCCTAAAACTGTTGCTTTTAAATATTTTGTCTGAAATTTACAAGCACAAAACAAACAACACCACTAAAAAGTGGTCAAAGGGCTGGGGGTGGTGGCTCACGCCTGTAATCCCAGCACTTTGGGAGGCCGAGGCGGGCGGATCACCTGAGGTCAGGAGTTTGAGACCAGCCTGGCCAACATCGTGAAACACTGACTCTACTAAGAATACAAAAAAAAAAAAATTAGCCAGGCATGGTGGCACACACCTGTAATCCCAGCTACTCAGGAGGATGAGACAGGAGAATCGCTTGAACCTGAGAGGCAGAGGTTGCAGTGAGCCAAGATCGCACCATTGCATTCCAGCCTGGGCAACAACAGCGAGACTCCATCTTAAAAAATAAATTAAATAAATAAATAAATAAATAATCAAAGGACATGCACAGACACTTTTCAAAAGTAAACATACATGGAGCCAATAAGTACATGAAAAAACGCTCAACATCACTCATCACTAGAGAAATGCAAATCAAAACCACAATGAGATACCATCTCACACCAGTCAGAATGGCTATTGTCAAAATGTCAAAAAATAACAGAGCTGGCAAGGTTGCCAGAGAAAGGAGAATGCTCATGTACTGTTGGTGAGAGTGTAAATTAGTTCAACCATTGTGGAAAGCAGTGTGGCAATTCCTCAAAGAGCTGAAAAGAGAACATTCAACCCAGCAATCCCATTACTGGGAATATATCCAAAGGAATATCAATCATTCTACCATAAAGACACATGCACATGCACATTCATGCACTATTCATTACAGCAAAGACATTGAATCAACCTAAATGCCCATCGATGATAGACTGGATAAAGGAGATGTGGTACATATATACAGTGGAATACTACACAGCCATAAAAAAGAACAAGATCATGTATTCTGCAGGAACATGGAAGGAGCTGGAGGCCATTATCCTTAGCAAACTAACACAGGAACAGAAAACCGAATGCCACATGTTCTCACTTATAACTGGGAGCTAGATGATGAGAACACATGGACACAGAAAGAGGAACAACAGACACCATTGCCTACTTGAAGGTGGACAGTGGGAGGAGGGAGAGGATCAGAAAAAAATAACTATTGATTACTAAGCTTAGTACCTGGGTGACAACATCATAATCTGTACATCAAACCCCCATGACGCAAGTTTACCTATGTGACAAATCTGTACATATACTCCTGACCCTAAAATAAAAGTTAAAACTAAATAAGTAAAAGTAAATAAATAAATATTTGGTCTGGTTTTCCAGTTGTTTAAGGCAGGATAATAAATCTGGTCTCTGTTATGCCACCTTTTCTGGAAGCAAGAGCTTAGTAGAAGCATTTTTGAGAATTTTGATCAATATTTGATAAACATATACTGCGGGAGGGGGAACCTTCTCCTCCATAACCCCCAAAAAAGTGTCTCCTTCAACTAATATATATATTTGAGACAGGGTCTCACTTTGTCACCCAGGCTGGAGTGCAGTAGCACCATCTTGACTCACTGCCACCTCGACCACCTGGGTTCAAGTAATCCTCCTTCCTCAGCCCCCCAAGTAGCTGGGACTACAGGCAGGTGCCACCACACCCAGCTAATTTTTGTATTTTTAGTAGAGACAGGGTTTCACCATGTTGCCCAGGCTGGTCTCAAACTTCTGAGCTCAAGCCATCCTCCTGACTCAGCCTCCTAAAGTGCTAGGGTTTCAGGCATGAGCCACTGCACCTGGCTATCAATTAATATTTTAAAAATATCAAGAAACATGAATTTAAAGGAGTTTAAATAAACATGCTCAAAAGAGGAAAAAAGTATAACTCTAAATTAGGTGAGAGAAGGGGTTGGAAAGGAGACAGCCAGGATTGTGATGTAAAATGAAATTAGGGTTCAAACAGGTCCTTAACTTGCCTGCTCTGCTGCTCCCATGGAATCTCTCAGAGTGGATGTTTGTAGCAAAGTTTACCTGGCAGCTCTTTTAAAATGCATATTCTCACCAGGCAGGGTAGCTCACACCTATAATTTCAGCATTTGGGAGGCCAAGGCAGGGAGTATGACTTGAGCCCAAGAGTTCAAGACCAACTTGGGCAAATCTGTCTCTTCAAAAAATACAAAAATTAGCCAGGTATGGTGGTACACCTGTAGTTCCAGTTACTCGGGAGGCTGAAGCAGAAGGATCACACCGAAACTGGGAAGTTGAGGCTACAGTGAGCCATGATTACACCACTGCACTCCAGCCTGGGCGGCAGAGCAAGACCTTGTCTCAATAAAAGAATAAATAAAATAAAAAGCATATTCTCAGGCCCTACCTCAAACCTACATAGGGCTCAAATTCTAGGAGGGGGACCCCATGTAGAACCTGCCTTTTCTGCATGTTTCTCCAATTGCTTCTGACCTGATAAACTGACAGAATATGACCTAGGTGGGTGCCGAAGGGGATACCATATTTGGCCCCAAATAGTGAGTCAGTGGCAGGACTACTGGGCTTGGAAATGGAGACTTCTGACTTCCCACTCTGGTCAGCTTCTACAGTGGCAGTTGCTATCAATCCTCCCTTAACACCAGAATCACCTGCAGCTTTGGAAGACTGAGACTCAGGACCTCTCCCAGCAATGCAGATTGAATTGGTCTGAGGAGGGGCCTAGGTATCTGAACTTTCTCAGACTCCCCAGGTAATCCCAACGTGAGCCTGGGCTATGACACAGGCTCTAACCTGGGTGTCAGTGGGTCTGGGAGCCCCTGAAGTACATGTTTATAGCATGTGGGATGTCTCAGTCTGGATGCAACTTGAATTCTTATAAAAGGAGGCACAATGATCCATTTTCTGAGATCAAGGCAGTGAACAAGGGAAACCCTGCATTTGTTAGGGCAATTCTATGCTTTTCTTTTCTTTTCTCTTTTCTTTTCTTTTCTTTTCTGTTGCCCCAGGCTGGAGGGCAGTGGCATGATCTTGGCTCACTGCAATCTCTGCCTCCGGGCTCCAGCGATTCTCCTGCCTCAGTCTCCCAAGTAGCTGGGATTACAGGCGTGCACCACCATGCCCGCCTAATTTTTGCATTTTTTTAGTAGAGACAGGGTTTCATCATGTTGGCCAGGCTGGTCTCCAACTCCTGACCTCAAGTGATCCGCCCACCTCAGCCTCCCAAAGTGCTGGGATTACAGGTGTGAGCCACCGCGCCCGGCCATATTGTGCTTTTCAAACCTTACTGGGCATAAAAAACCCCCTTGAGAGCTTGTCAAAACACAGATTCCTTGGATGCACCCCTAGAGATTCTAATTTCAGAGGTCTCGGGGTACGGCCTGAGAATTTGCATTTCTAACAAATTCTCATGAGGCCGAACCTGCTGGTCTAGAACCACACTTCGTGCATCACCAAGCTATGGGGAGAGAAGACACTGAAAGGTCAGACCCAAGCTCTACCAGTGCCTCAGCCGGGCATAGGGAAGTCACTCCCCCATCTGTCAAATACCTTGATCTCTGGGATGCCTTTATGTCTGTGTTGTGGGTCAGCTCCACTCCAACCTGACGATTCCTCCACCCTAAATCCTCACCTGCCCTCCCCAGCAGCACCCTCATGTCTCCCTGCACCCATCTGCAGCATCCGCCAAGAGTCTCAAAAACCCTGGAACCTTTTGATCATAAAATAATAATAATAAATCATAGCCATTGCTCACTTCAAGAAGTCAGACACTGTTTTGTTCATCTCTTTATCTGCAAAGCCTAGAATAGCACTAGATCCACAGTAGGCACTCAAGGTGAACTCACGAAACGAATGAATCAGAGTCAGTGGGACTAAGCCTTCACAAGGCGCAGTTCCTTTAAGCCTTACCCTCCAGACAAATGGGAGCTATGTTTTATTCTCATGTTACAGATGGGGAAACTGAGGCTCTAAGAGGTGGATGCCCTCGCCCAGGGTCACACAGTCAGGGCCTGGCAGAGGCTGGGTTTGGAACCCAGGTCTGTGAGAGCCCAACTCCCCTACGCCTGGGAATAGACTTGGGTTTGGTTGCAGGGGAGATGAGACGGTGTCGGGGTAGTGAATTAGCAGAAGCTCCTCCGAGGTGCCGAGGTGCTGAGGGAGATAAAAATAGCCTGCGGGCTGCGCTGGAAGGTATACTGGAAGCCCCCAGCGTTCGCCGGCGACTGGCGTCCTAATTTATGGCACCCGGAGAATCGAGCTCGGCGAGCGCCTCTCCTAGGCGGGTTGAGCTGCAGGTGAGGACAATGTAATTAAGAAATCAAAAGGTAATTTCCACACACGCTGCCGCTCGCCGGACCCCGCGGTCGCTTAATTGATGGTGGGGCCGGCCGAGCCCGCGCAGCCGCCGCCAGTGCCAATGCGCCCCGGTGAGCCCAGGAGCGCCGCGCCCACCCGGCGACTCGTGGCTTCTCTGTCTCTCCTCGGGAGGCGGGGAAACTTGGCCGCGGCCCCATGGGCTTCCGGGAGCTCAGGGGAGGGCGACAGGGCGTGACGCTAGGGACACTCTAGCCTCTGCTTCCTCCCCACCCACCCCCCGCCACCGCCGCCGACATAACATATGATCATCTATTTGTCTCTCTCCCTTGTTCCTGTATTCCACTTCCTATTTCTCTCTGCACGCATGTTTTTCTTTCTTTCTTTCTTTTTTTCTTTCTTTCTTTCTTTCTTTCCTTCCTTCCTTCCTTCCTTCCTCCCTCCCTCCCTCCCTCCCTCCCTCCCTTCTTTCTTTCTTTCTTTCTTTTTTCTTTCTTTCTTTCTTTCTTTCTTTCTTTCTTTCTTTCTTTCTTTCTTTCTTTCTTAGACGGAGTGTCACTCTGTCGCCCAGGCTGGAGTGCAGTGGCGCGATCTCGGCTCACTGCAAGCTCCACCTCCAGGGTTCACGCCATTCTCCTGCCTCAGCCTCCCGAGTAGCTGGGACTACAGGCGCCTGCCACCATGGCCAGGTAATTTTTTGTATTTTTAGTAGAGACGAGGTTTCACCGTGTTAGCCAGGATGGTCTCGATCTCCTGACCTCGTGATCCGCCGACCTCGGCCTCCCAAAGTGCCGGGATTACAGGCGTGAGCCACCGCGCCCGGCCCATGTTTATTTCTTTTTCTCCCCGTACCCCTACTTTTTTTTGAAACAGTGTCTTGCTCTGTCGCCCAGGTTGGAGTGCAGTGCGGGATCATAGCTCACTACAGCCTCGACCTTCTGGGCTTAAACGATCCTCCCACCTCAGCCTCACAGTGCTCCAAGAATACAGGCATGAGCCATGACACCTGGCCTCTTTCCCCTTCTTTAGTTCACTCACTGGTCTCTATCATTTCCTCTCTCTTCTCCACTCCTTCCCCAGGTTTCTGTCTCCTTGTTTCTCTTTTTCTTTCAGTTACCAGAATTCTTACCGCTGGGCCTGGAAGAAAGAGCACTCAGGTGACCTTTAAACCTTAGGGGAAATCGCCGGGCGCAGAGGCTCAAGCCTGTAATCCCAGTACTTTGGGAGGCCGAGGCGGGTGGATCACCTGAGGTCAGGAGTTCAAGACCAGCCTGGGCAACATAGTGAAACCCCATCTCTACTAAAAATACAAAAAATTAGCTGGGTGTGGTGGCATGCGCCTGTAATCCCAGTTACTCAGGAGGCTGAGGCAGGAGAATCGCTTGAGCCCAGGAGGCTGAGGTTGTAGTGAGCCAAGATTGTGCCATTGCACTCCAGCCTGGCTGACAGAGCAAGACTCTGTCTCAAAAATAAAAATAAAAATAAAAATAAACCCTAGGGCAGATTGCATGTAAGTTACTGCCTCTCCACCTCCCCTTCCTGCATGTGGGATGAGTCATGGCAGCCCTGTAAGCAGGCAGCACTGGCTTGGGTAGACCAACCTGGACTCTCACATGGAATGATGAGTCTGTGCCCAGGAATGATGGGTGGGTGGGTAGGTGACTGGATGAATGGATTAATGGGAGGGTGATCAGTTGAGTATTTGGATGGATGGTTGATTGGTTGGTCAAAGAGATAGGTAGGTAGATAGTCTAGGGTTGATTGGGAATTGGGTGGGTGTGTGGCTGAGTGGGTAGATGGGTAGGTAAATGGATGCGTAGATGGATGTGGTGGGTAAATGAAGGAGAGGTTAATATAGGTGAATAATGAATAAATGGATGAGTAGATGATTGTGGGTTGGCTAAATCTGCAGGTGGATGGCTGGATAGATGAGTGGATACATAGATGGGTCAATGTGTGGATGGATAAATGGGTATATAAATGGATAAGTGGGTAAGTAAGAGAATGGATAGTGGGTAGATGGATGAATGGGTGAGTATTTGGATGGATGGATGGATGGATGGATGGATGGATGGATGGATGGATGAATGGATGGATGGATGAATGGAAAGGAGTATAGATTGGTGGGTATGTGGATGGATAAGTGAGTGAACAGACAGGAGGGCATTGATAGATGAACGTATGGATGGATAGATAGGTGAAAGATGGATAACTGGGTGTATGGATACATGGACTGATGGGGAAATGAATGGGTGAATAGTGAGTAGGCAGATGAATGAGAAAGTAGGATGTGTGGGTTGGGGGGAGTAGATGGATGGATGGATGGGTGGATGGATGAATGGATGGATGAGTAGGTAGTAAGAGGATGAATAAATGGATGAGTGGATGTATAGGAGTGCTAAAAATGTAGATGAATAGAGGAGTGGATGGATGGGTGGCCGGATAAATGGGGGAACTTATAGGAACAGAAGCATGTTCCTAGTGATGACATTAAGGAACAGATGTTTGATGACAAAGTCAAAACGTAAGTAGGTATAAACAAAAGTAACAGGAATCTGCCATCCTCCAAGAGATCTCCCAGCCCTGGGATCTCAAGGACTTTCTTCTCACAGAGGGGCAGGGCAGGCAGCTGTGCTATAGAAAAAGGAGTACTGGCCTGAGCCCTGTACAGACTTGGAGTGAGTCACTACTATTTCCTTTTCTTCCATTTCTTCAAATGTCAAATGGACATAATAACATCAGCCTCACTGGGTTGAGAAGAAAAGGTAAAGTAACAGGAATGAAGTCACCTTACCAACTGGAACACTCTCCACCATGCACCAATATCAATACATGGAATTTAGCACAGCCTTGTCACCACCCTAATTTCTTTGGTTGACGACCAACCAGACTCAAGGTCCAGCAGCTGACCCCTTCTTAAGCCATGAGCTTTCTTCTAAAGGCCCCTCCCTCACATCTTCACTTCCCCAAACTCTACCTGTTCTGTAGGGTCCAGTTCTCTCTCACATACCGGTACCTACAAGAAACCTTCTCCAGTTATCCCTCCCCCCATAACAGAGGACATTGAATGCCACAGCAAAGAATATGGACATTAATTAGGCCAGTGAAATGAGCTGCAGAAAGGTGGGGTTTTGTTTGTTTGTTTGTTTGTTTGTTTGTTTTAAAGACAGAGTCTTGCCCTGTTGCCCAGGCTGGAGTACAATGGCATGATCTCGGCTTACTGCAACCTCTGCCTCCTGGGTTCAAGTGATTCTCCTGCCTCAGCCTCCTGAGTAGCTGGGATTACAGGCACCCACCACCACACCCAGCTAATTTTTGTAATTTTAGTAGAGATGGGGTTTCACCAGGTTGGCCAGGTTGGTCTCGAACTCCTGGCCTCAGGTGATCCACCCGCCTCAGCCTCCCAAAGTGTTGGGATTACAGGCATGAGCCACCATGCCCCGCCTGCAGAAAGGTTTTAAATCCCTACCTGCCTCCTGGAACATGTTTGACCAGGACTCTGGCAATCTGTGTCCCTAGGTTCCTTTCCCATCTCCACTTTCAACACCACCTCCCCAAAATAGAAAAATGCCTTTTGTTCATCTCTGGGTTTTTGGCCCCCAGTACCGGGTTTTCAGTAAACACTTGCTGAGCACATCTAAGTCTGAAATGGGGAAGCGTGGAGGTTGGTAATACACAACACATCAGCAATACAGTTTTGCCTACTGACCCTTCTGCTGCTTGTCTTCTTCCCACTCTGTGTCAGTTTCTCAGAGGAGGAAACTCAGGCCAATAGAAATTGCCCAACGGCCCCCCAAAATCCTGCTGTCCCTTCCCCCATTCTGAACTAAGCTGTCAGGAATGTGACCACCAGAGCAGAAAGATCCTTTGTTACCACAGAGAGAGGTAAGTGAGGGAGGTTCCGTTGGAGGATTAGGGAAGAGCCTGCAGGCAATTCCTTTCTCGCTGGGGCTCAGCGGGGGCTGGAGCTGGATTTTCACCTGCTAAGAGCCTGCCTTAAGCTGCCTCCCACCTGCTGGGAATGCCCAAAGCCAGAGATCCAGGAGGCTCACCTGAGGTGGTCATTCTCGGGCCAGCACACCTGGGCAAAAGGAGAAGGAAAAGGAGTGGGGGAAGTGGGAAGGAGGAAGAGAGAGAGACTCAGACATATACCTTTAGTAGGGTGTAGACACTTGCATGCACATAATCACAAATACATATACATTGGTACACACTCAGATGCCTGCATGCGTGAATGAAGATTTACTTATATATGTGCTTGTGTGCACCTCTCTCATCCACACTTACATTTTCAGGCACAGAACCACATGCATATACACAATCACATATGCGAAGATGCCTACACCACACACTCACACACACACACACATATCAAATGTGCACATAGATACATATGTGCTCATAGACCACACACATGCACACACATAGTTATACACATGCCTAGACACAGGCTCACACACATATAGTCATTCACAGTCACATGTACACATGTGCATGTCTTCATATTCACATATATATGTGCACAGCCCTGCTTGCCTCCAACCCCTCCCCAACTGCTGGCTGCCTTTTGTCCAGAAATTTAAAAAATTCTTCCTTTAGTTTTGCAAATTCACTACATGTATGTAGCATCCGTGCATATGCTGCGTCTCCACTGAAGATTCAGTGGTGACCCTCCTCAAAGACATAGAGCCATAGGATTCAGGGATGATGAAGGGGAGGGGCAGGGAGCCACAGAAACAAAGGAATCAATACTACCTGCTCCTCAGATCTTTCCAAGTATTTTCCTAGCCGCTGTGCTACATCTTTTTTTTATTTTTTGAAACAGTCTTTTTTTTTTTTTTTTTTTTTTTTTTGAGACGGAGACTTGCTCTGTCGCTCAGGCTGTGGTGCAGTGGTGCAATCTCGGCTCACTACAGCCTCTGCCTCCTGGGTTCAAGCAATTCTCCTGCCTCAGCCTCCTGGGTATCTGGGATTACAGTTGTGGGCCACCACGCTCGGCTAATTTTTGTATTTTTAGTAGAGACAGGGTTTCGCCATGTTGGCAAGGCTGGTCTCAAACTCCTGGCCTCAAGTGGTCAGCCTCTCAAAGTGTTGGGATTACAGGCATGACTCATCATACCCTGTCAGCATTTTTAAATGGCAAATACAGGAGGTAGGAACCTAGTTTACAGATGAGAAAAACTGAGACTCAAACTGATCACCATGTCCAGATCATAAAGCTAGTTAGAGGGGGAGCCCAGATCGGAGGTGAGTCTGTCTTTAAAAGTAGGAAGAATACACTGTTTTTGCCCCTCTCTCAGGGAATTTTTTATTGTTATGAAATATATTTAAGACATAAAAAGACCAGGCATGGTGACTCATGCCTGTAATCCCACCATTTTGGGAGGCCAAAGTGGGAGGATTGCTTGAGCCCAGGAGTTTGCAACCAGCCTGGGTAACATGGAGGGACCCCATCTCTACAAAAAATAAAATAAAAGAATTAGCCGGTCATGGTGCCACATGCCTGTAGTCCCAGCTATGCGGGAGACTGAGGTGGGAGGATCACTTGAGCCTAAGTCAAAGCTGCAATGGGCCGTGTTTGTGCCACCACACTCCAGCCTGGGTGATGAAGTGAGACCCAGTC
Organism: Homo sapiens; assembly: GCF_000001405.40. NCBI lineage: Eukaryota > Metazoa > Chordata > Mammalia > Primates > Hominidae > Homo > Homo sapiens. The sequence continues at coordinate 113,586,185 of NC_000012.12, read as the reverse complement.
TCAAAAAGCAAACAAAAAAAAAAGGATATACAAAAAAGCATTTTCCATTTCCATCCCACCCTGAAATAATCACTATCCCAAACTTGATGTTTATCAGTAATTACTTCACTCATTTAAAAGGTGATGGCGAAGCAACTAACATGTGAACAACCACAAAACAAAAATCCCACTCTCATGGAACAATCTAGTAAAATGCATTTCCTTATACTTTTGCCAAGAATGTACGTATTCCTAAACACACAGTTTGCTTAGCATGTTTCTGAGCTTTATCTAAATAGCATGATCCACTGAAGGGTTTCTCAGTCTCAGCTTGATTGACATGTGGGGCTGGATGGTTCTTGGTGGTGGAACTGTCCTGTGCACTGCAGGATGTTGAGAAGCATCCCTGGCTTCTGTCCACCGGACGCCAGTAGGACCCCGCAACCTCCCAATTGTAACAACCAATAATGTCTCCAGGCATTGTCCAGTGTCCCCGGCCAGGGTAGGGGACAAAATTACCCCTGGTTGGGAAGGACTGACCACTGTCTACGCTATACCGCCCTTCTCATTTCAGGCCAAGTTTGTGAAATCCCTCCTGGTTGCTGTGTGGAGCCCTAGTTCATCCACATTTCCAACAGCTGAGTCTTCCGCACAACGGGAAAAGCACCATTAATTTCACTCTCCTATCTTGGAGCATTTAGATCATTTCCTGGTTTTGCTTCTTACAAACAGAGCTGCTATGAACATCCCTACCTGGAACTCAGGGGCCACTTTTCTCTAGGGACACATTCATCTGTCTGCTAGATGCTTTTTTCTAAAACTCTACTTTCATTTTAAAAATTATGACATGGCTATACTTGCTCAGGCCTCTAAGATGGCATCCTAGGACCTACTGAATGGAGTCCCAGCATCTCAAGGAAGGAATGCCAGAAGCCAGAACATCCAAGTAACAATCTCCACCTGCAGCTGATGCTCTCTGGGACCCAGGACCAGCCACTCTTCTCTGTGCCCCACTTTCCTCCTTTGTAATCTAATTACCCAGTGATGACCAGGATATAAGAGGACTTGTCTGCATTGTCTCATGGCCACAACCACAAGAAGAGCGTCCTGCTGTCACCCCCATTTTATAAATAGGGAAACTAGGTCAGGCATGGTGGCTCACACCTGTAATCCTAGAGCTTTGAGAGGCCAAGGCGGGAGGAACAGTTGAGACAGCAGTTTGAGACCAGCCTGGGCAACATAGCAAGAACTCCGTCTTGACAAAAAAAAAAAAAATTTTTTTTAAATTAACTGGGCATGGTGGCACACACCTGTTGTTCCAACTATTCGAGAGGCTGAGATGGGAGGATCATTTGAGCCCAGGAGATCGAGGCTGCAGTGAGCTAGGATCATGCCACTGCACTCCAGCCTGGACAACAGAGTGAGACCTTATCTCTAAAAAATAAGAAAACTGAGGCACAGAGAAGTTAAGTAACGTGCTCAAGGTCATGCAACTAGTAAGTGGCAGAGCCTACGTGCTTTCCCTTCATTAATTCAGTCATTTATTCAACAACTATTTTATTGAACATCCACTATGTACCCAGCCTCGGCAGTGATCAAGATACCCAAGATCCTAGATTTTACAAAATCCACCACTTAAAAGCAGAGCATGGGATGGAAAGGAGACAAAAATTATTGTGTCTAACTTATTTGTTAATTTGCCTATGGGCAGCAATAAGTGCCATGGGGGGAAAAAAGGTAGAGTAATAGGAACTACTTTGGTCAGGGAAGTCCTCTCTGCAGAGTGGAGACCTCACTGTCAAGGAGAAAACAGCCAAGCAAAGGCCTAAATCAAGGGTGTTACAAGAGAAAGGAAAAGGCAGGAGTAGAGAGGCCCCATTGTCAGAGGCGTTTAAACCAGAGTGACTCCATCTTGACCAGGAGCTGGGTACAATGAGGCTGAAACCTACTGGGCTGCATTCCCAGATGGTTAGGCATTCTGAGTCACAGGATAAGATAGGAGGTCTGCACAAAATACAGGTCATAAAGACCTTGCTGATAAAACAGGATAAGTAAAGAAGCCAGCCAAAACCCACCAAAACCAAGATGGTGACGAGAGTGACCTGTGGTCGCCCTCACTGCTGCACTCCCACCCGCGTCATGACAGTTTACAAATGCCATGGCAATGTCAAGAAGTTACCCAAAAGGGCCAAAAAGGAGGAGGCATAAATAATCCACCCCTTGTTTAGCATATCATCAAGAAATAACCATAAAAATGGGCAACCAGCAGCCCTTGGATCTGCTCTGCCTATGGAGTAGCCATTCTTTCATTCCTTTACTTTCCTAATAAACTTGCTTTCACTTTACTTTATGGACTCGGCCTGAATTCTTTATTGCATGAGATCCAAGAACCCTCTTTTGGGGTCTGGATTGGGACTCCTTTCCTGTAACACCATGCCAGAAGCCATTCTGGAATGTTCTGGAAACAGAACAAGCCAGGAGCCAAGTGACAAGTGAGTCAGTGAGAGGCTGGGACACCCCACTACAGATCCTCCATGTGAATTCTTGGGCTGATCTGGGGAACCTTCCATGGGCTGGCCCCACCTCTCCAGTTTTCTACTTCTTACCAGGTATCCACTCTAGGGAGGAGGCCAGCCTGAGAAGGGAAGGAAAGGGCAACACCTGAATCACCCATAGAGCCTCGCACTGTGGCCAGTGAAGGCTGCTCACTTGGGCCACCTTCCCGGGTTGGGAATTGCTGCAACCAGAGAAAGAGGAAGAATCTCTAGTTCTATAATTCCCTTGGAACCAAAGTCACTGGCCCAAAAAGAAGCTAGCTCCAGTGGGTGGGGGATTACATTCCTGTTTGTTTATTGTTTTGGAATCAAAAGGCCACCTGCCCACCTCCCTGCTGCTGAAAACACCCTGAACCTCCAAGCACCTGTCCCATAGAGGTAGAGCTTCCACTTGTTTATTAGGGGAAAAGGGAGATGAATGGCTTCCAAAGTAGGGAGATCTCCCCTCCACCACTGCAGAGCTGTGTGTCCTTGGGCCAAGGACGCAGCCTCTCTGAGCTGCCACTTCCTCATCCAGCAAACAGCAGGATTGTTGAGAAATAACCTAACTCATCCCTGGTACACACACACAGGAGCCTTTCAACCCATACTAATTTCCAGTTTCCTCAGGGACTAATTTTTCAACCTTGGGAAGCATGCTTTGCCACTTCTGATGAGGGCCAGTTTGAGTTTGCTTGTTAAAGACTACCTAGCCTTGATTGGATGCCACGATGAATTCTTTCCTCACCTTTCCTTCTCCAGGGCCACATCATCCCAGGACCTTTCCCTTATCTTTACAGGGTTCTGGGCTGCTCCTCCACACCTCTGAGTCACAGTTCCCTGACCCAGGTCACAGCTGAGGGAGGGGGAGTGCAAGGATGACCTCATGGTTCTCTTGGGTTGAGTGCAGGGGGTGGGGCTGTGGATACCAAAGCCCTCATCTTCCCCTTCCTCTTACTGCCTAGAGATGGAGTGAAGAGCTTTCACAGTTATCTGGGCTGACTCCAAGTGTGTGATCACTCTCCCCGGGTGTCAGTGCGGCTGGGAGATTTGTGATACCGCCTGGTTTCTAATTACCACACTTTCTGCACTCTCTCCCCCTCCCACTCTCCTCAGAGCTGCTGCCACCACCTCCATCATCTCCAGCTGCCAGCCTGCCTGACTCCATCTGCAGAGGAGAAACACGGCTGGAAACGAGAGAGGCTGTGGTACTTTGTATGGCCAGGTGTGCACACACAGCCACACTCACAAGGTATACGACAGTATGGAAAACAGACTCTTCCACACCTGCAAAAAGATCTGCTCACCAAGTTGGGTTTATCCCAGGAATACAAGCATGTTTTGGAACAAAGTGTCAATGACATTCACAACATTATCAGCTTAGAGGAAAATGATATGATTATCTCAATAAATGCTTAATAGGAATATGGAAAATGTCCTTGTGCAGGTTCCAGAAAACAGTAACTTGTTAAAAGGTACAAACCCAAGGCAGTGAGAGTGAGAGAAGGAGGAATTAAGGCAGGAGCAGATGGGAGCAAGGCAAGGTGATATATTGCTATGCTGCTCACTGCTTCTTGGGAAAGGAAAGCAGGTTGTTTGGCCATTGGGCTGCTCAGCTTTGCAGGGCACCTCCATGTGGTTGTGCCTCTGACTAGTCCACCAGAGGAAGAAGGAGGGAATTTATCAGATCAGCTCCCTCCCTATCTTCTGATCCTCTTGGTCAAAGATTCTCCCCTGGGTTAACTCCCCTGCATTTCTGGGCTGCATCATACAGCCCCACTGGCAGCTGCTTGGGAAGCCATACACTGTGTTGTGATATTTCTCCTAAGTCCAAAAGTGACAAGAAAAGTCAGGGACTCGGGGCTAGTAGCTGATCAGCCCTAGACAGCAGAATTGCATGAGACTATGTGGAGTGAGTTGGCTGCTGTTGGTGACTAAGGCTGACCAAACAGCTAAGGTCTGGGAAGCAGATGAGACAAGAGAATCTGATGAGGCTCATAAATGTGTCAGATACAATTTGTTTCAACTCCAGTTCCTAATGAAATCTCATCAAGTGACATACAGATTGGTGAAATATTTAAAATATTTTCATTTAAATACAAGATGGGGATGAAGTTACCCAAGATCACCACCACTACTCAACATTGTACTTCAGGCATTAGCCAATGCAATAAGACAAGAAAAAAAAAACACAAAAATATGATGTTTGAAAAGGTAGAGACATTATGTATATGTGATATGATTGTCTACCTACAAAATGCAAAAGAAACAACTGACAAATTATTTAAGTTAATAAGATACATTGTGTCCAAATCATTATTATTTCCTTCCCTGCCTCTTCTTTTCCTCCACAAAAACTCACATCCTACATTTCTTGCACCTGCTCTGCAATTTCTCACTTCTGAACATTTACCCCACCTTGAGCTCCTCTCTTGCAATTTCTGCAGTTGCAAATTCTACCTATTTCCCAATGCCCAATGCACATGCCACTGTGTTTTCCTAAAATCTTTCTTGTTTTCCCAACCACAAGTAGGTTCTCCATCTTCTAAGCTCACAAAATCTGCATTATTCGTTCATTCTCTACAGTTCTCTGAAGGTACCTACCCCCTCTTACCTCTTATTATAGTTATTTGTGCCTGTATCCTGTCTACTGAAGTAGGCTGTGAGCAACTTGAAGCCAGAGATTGGGAAGATGGAAGAATACAATTTAGTGACAAAGAGTACTTTGGAGCTTGACAGACCCATATTTAAATCCCAGCACTACTATTTATCAGTTGTGTGCCCTTAACAAAGTTCTTGACCTCTCTGAGCTTTTTTCTCATATAAGGATTGAGGGTATAGTAGGGTTGTTTTGAGGTTTGCACTAAACAAGTTGACAGTGTGTGTGCATTCCTATGTACATTTAGCAAACCACCTAGCACAAGACAAAGAATACTATTATTATTACACACTATTATTTTTCATTATTTATCCCTAGCACCTAGGACAGTGCCCAATGTACAAGAGGAGTTCAAAAGATGCTCTATGAAATGACGTCACAAATATTTCTTGAGTGCTTCTGTGCACAGGGCAATGCACAGGATGTTAGAGATGCAAGAATGAGTAGGATCCAAAGCCTGGTCTCCAAGAGGCCAAGAGCATCAGAAGATTGTAAGGAACACAATGTCGGAGAAAGTCAAACCCAAGCCCACTAAAGACACAATCACATTCCTAGTCCCCTTGGTGGCTGTCTTTATGGGAAAGTCAGTTTAAGGCACGGAATCTTAGGCCATTGGGTCGAGAGGTTGGGCTCTGGAGTTGGGCAATCCTAGGTTCAAATCCTGGCCCCTGTATTTATCATTTGGATCTGTTCAGGGAAATTCTCTCATCTCTTTGAATCATGGCTCCTCTTCTAACAGTACCTACCTTGCTGAGTTGCTGGGGATAAAATGAGATCATCAAATGTAAAGAACTTGGCACAGCACCTGGCATCTCCTAAGCTCTCATTTAATGCTAACACCCCCTCCACTTTCTTTTTCTTACAGATGGGAAACTGGGGCCCAGGGAGGAGGAGGATGTGTCATGGGTCTCACCAAGCTGCAACTAGATAAGGTCTCCTGGCTCTAAAGCCACCTTCATCTGGAGATTTCCCAGGTCCCGGCCAGCTCTGGCAGCTCAGTCTATGGAAGCTTCAGCGAGGTGAGCTACATCGTCTTTTTAAGGTGTCTCAAGCTAATACTGAGCGACCATGAGCCTGGGCCACAGTTGCTAGCTTGGACCAAAGCAGCCCTTCATCATTTCTAGCAAAATAAGTGTTTCCTACTTGGCTGGAGAGCATTGCTCCACCATTCTGGGGACCTCTGGGTCTCTTTCCTTCCAGCTGAGGCATCAAGTACCTTGAGTACCCTAGCTTGGCTACTAATTTCACCCATCTAGACTTCATCAGGCCCTGCACCTGAAAAAAAAAAAAAAAGACAAAAAGCAAGGAATAAGGAACATCAGACAAAGCACAAAATGTTTCCCTTCTCTTACTCCAAACCACATCTCAAAAATGGATCTTATTAATGAGGCATATTTCTCTGTACTGACTTGACAGATAAATTAAGTGAAGATATATTAAGTAAAGAATTGGAAAATGCCACACACTCTGCTCCATCCACCTCCACTTTCTAAAAGTATATACCTAGAATAAAATGCTGAGGAACTATGTCTTAGTCTGTTTCCTGCTGCTATAGCAGAGTACCCCAGACTGGGTAATTTTTAATGAACAGAAATGTAGCTGGCTCAAGATTCTGGAGGCTGGGAAGTCCAAGATCAAGGGCCTGCAACTGGTGAGGGCCTTCTTGCTGCATCATAACATAGCAGAAGGCAACACGCTGTGAGAGAGGGAGAGAGAGCAAGAGAGGGCTAAACTCACTTTGATAACAAACCCACTCTCACATTAACAACATTAATCTATTCATTAGGACAGCACCCTCAAGAACTAATCATCTCTTAAAGGTCCCAACTCTCAACTCTGTTGCATTAGGGATTAAATTTCCAACACATGAATTTTGGGAGACACATTCAAACCACAGCAAAATATTAACCAAAAGATGTTCCTGTTGATTGTGTCTGAGGGTACAATTACAGTGAAGGTTCTATATTGCCTGTTTCCAGAATGTTTTCATTCAGGCATTGCTTTTGTAATCAGGAATACTAGAGGGTTTGAAAAAGAAAAAGGGATACTTTGTGTCTTGGCCAGTGTCGGAGGCCAGGAGGGCTGGAAGGAAGAGTTCTGGAAGAGGACATTGGCCAGAGAGACCACCTGTCTGGGCTGGGGAAATTCCAACCTTTGGCCCAGGACTAGGTCTCCTGAAGCAGAAGGGAAAACTCAGTGGTGCTACAGAATCCTTGAGTAATCTCTATTCTTAAAGGAGTATGTATGTTTCTGAATTCCTAACATGATGTTGTCGCTGGAAGCATATATAAGGAACAGGTGCTACCGTTTCCCTCTAGGAAGGAGAGCCAGGTGGCCAGGGAGGGAGAGAGGTAGTAGTTTCACTTCATACTTTTTTGGTAGCTTTTGAGTTATAAACCACACGAAGGTATTACCTACTCCAAAAATAAATAAAACGTAAACACGAGAATAAAGTACTTTCAAAATAGCACTGTTAAATAGGTGTTCAAAATGTTAAGCACATATACAGCTGCATGGATAAACATAGCCACTTGAGAACAATGAATTAATCTTAAAAGGCTCACTAAGAAATATTTGGAAAATACAGAAAAAAAGATTTAAAAGTATACATGTTTTACTTAGCATCTCACCACTCAAAGAAAACCAACATTAATATTATAGCTTATTTCTTTCCAGGCTGTTTTCTGTGCCTGGGTGTTTTGCTTTGTTTTGTTGGGGTTTGGATCATTCTGTATTGAAATTTTATAAATTACTTCTTAAAGATCTAAGCATGGATAAATGCTTACAACATAGCATCACGGTATAACTTTGAATATCATTGTTAAAGGATGGTATTGGGTTCTCACTTAAGATGGGAAGCCCTGAGAAATCTCAGATGGAAATTCTGCTCCCCGCCTTCCATGTGACTGGAGGTGTGGGGAGAGGGAGGCTTCCGGGCTATTAACCAACAGAGCTCTATGCATATCCCGGAATCATCTCTACTCTTGATTCTCAAGACACCTCCCTCCCCATCACCCTGGCTCACTTCTGATCCCTGCAAGGAGGAGAGACTGTTTGCGTTGGGGCCAATGGAGATGGAGATTGGGGGAGGGCACCAGGAGTCAGTAAGAGTGATTGGGTGTGGGACTGGAGGAGGGAGCAGAAAAGAGGAAATGATGGATGGGAAGGAAGACAGCCGGAGACAAGAAAACTGTCTTTCCTCTGTCAAGGAAGGGTGAGGGGAGCCAGGTGGGTGGGGGTGTGTGTGTTTGCTTCTCTTCCTTCCACTCTGGGAGGGTGAGTTTCTCGGAGATAAAACCACACAGCAGCAGGACCAGCCTGAACAGCTGTACCCATCATGGTCACTCCTCAAACCATTCCCAAAGACCTACTGTGTGCTGTGCCCTGGGCTCAGAGGGAGTGTCCTTAAGACGGTCAAGGGTGAACTTCATTCCACCCACAAGAAGACAGGGTGGGTTCCTAGATGAGATGGCTGCAGTGGGGACCCATGAGCTGAGGGTACACCATGGACATTTAGGGTTTTAGTGTGCATTTAAGGACAGTGTGTTGGTGGGGGGGAGGGGCTGAAGGATCACTATCCTTGTGCGGGGGTGACATCCTTGTTTTATGGGAAAGAGAGAAAGACATAAAGACAGAGAGACATGGAGTTAGATCTAGAGAGCCTGGAAGTCAGAGATGGGCAAAGAGACTAAGGGAGGGAGGGAACAGAGAGGCAGAGAGAAAGGAGAAAGGAAGATGGGAAGAGACTGAGAAGCAGAGAGACACAGAGAAGGCAGATACAGAGGAGAGACTCTGGGGAGAAAGGCTGGCTGGGGAGCAGGGGGAGAGGAGTCAGAGAGGAGGAAGAGGAGGAGGGACCCAGCCTGCCTTGTGGAGGAGAGGCTGTGCACACGGCAGGAACCCAGAAGGAAAATGACAGAGATGAGAGAAGACAGACAGACAGACAGCCTGGCACTTCAAAGAGAAAGAGGCTCAGGGAGTGACAGGAACAGAGAAAGGGAGAACAGTGACAGCAGTCATAGGGCACGTGGACAGGCCAGAAGCGGTGACGCTGTCCCTAGGAGACCCCACCCCACACCTTCAGGTGACTGGAAGCCTCCCTGGCCCCAGGAGCGGGAGCACGTTGGCCACTTCGACATGCCCATTCCAACCTTCTCTGGCTAATGGAGCCCACCCCTCTCCTCTGGCATCCAGGCCCCACAGACCTGCTTGCCCTGCCCCCACCACGCCCCCTGCCCCGCCTCAGCTCAGGCCCCCAGTTGGAGCCTCAGGGATTCCTGTCACTTTTCCCCCTGTGCCTAGACCAACGTGTCCTAATGCCATGAGTCACCCAGGAAAATACATTTCTGGTAGAAAATATGTTAACAAGCCCATTCAGTGATGCTGGATTTCCACGCCACTGTAATGTACACATTGCCTCTCCAAATCCACTTAAGCACAAAGGGTTGGCTGACTTCAAGAACAATATTAAGTAAACGTTGTAAGCAATGCTAAGTAAATGTTTTGGGTCTGTGCCCACCTGCCCATGACTTTTATGTAACACCACTTCAAGAGCAATGTTAAGTAAAAGTCATGGGCAGGTGGGCACAGACCCACAAGGGGCATGGACTGTCAGAAGTTCAGGAGCCATTGCCTCCTTTGAAACTCACTTTCAGGCCTCACCTCCCCCAGGAGGCCTTCCAGGATGCCACCCTCTCCTATGGTCCTCTTGCTGCTCCCTGGGCTCAAAAAGAGAGTAATGTCTGCTGGGGGGAATAGGAGAAGGTGAACAGCCTCAGAGAGGAGGTATAGTGGGCCTGAGTCTGAGGATGAGTCCAGGCAGAAAGGGACAAAGAGGGAACAGCATAAGCAAAGCCAGAGATGCAAAGCCCAGGACACGCCTCCCGCCTTCCCAGCCACCGCTGCCTGCTCCATCCTAAGTCCACCTTCTCACCACCTGTCTGTTTCCTTCGTTTCAGACCTTGCCCTCACTCCCATTCCTGCCTGAAGATCCACCATCCAGGTTTGGTGCAAATGTGGCCAGGCTGCCCCTGGGGAGTTGGGGTCACACTTTCTCTTAGCGCCCCAGCCTTAGAATAGGAAACATCTCCCCTGTACTGTGGCTCCTCCTCTCCCCTTCCCAACTCTGCTGTCTTCCTTTCTCATCAAACAGCAGTGCAAGAAGGACCAGCACAAGGCAAAAGTTCAACCCCTCATTGCGCAGGTGGGGGAAACCAAGGCCCAGAGAGCGAGGACACCCACCCCAGGTCATACCGCAGTAACTTCAGAGCCATCCCAGAACCCAGAGCTCCCCCACCACTTGGGGCTTCTGTGCTCCCAGGCTCCCACTGTTCCCCTCCTTGGGCCCCTGTTTGCCTCACTTCCTCCCTGTCTCCTGCCCACTCTCTTCAAATCCCCCACCCACTCTCTCCTGCTCCCTTTTCTGTTAAACTTGCCTCTCCCACACAGACCAGCCCCGCACACACAGTCCAGCCCCGCACACACAGTCCAGCCCCGCACACAGTCACATACGTAGGCATGCATGTGCACGCGATCACACTCACACACAGTCACATACACACACGTACTCACACTCACACACCCAGGTTCTCACACCTCCGTCTTCCAGGCTTCCCCCATCCATGCCAACTGTCCAGCCCAAATTGGGGACAGGCACCCTTTCGGAAGCTGGAAGGGAACAGGGACAAGATGATGGCTGGGCAGGAGCAGAAGGTGGTGGAGAGAAAAGCGAGGTGCTCCCCCACCCTGGACCCTGAGTTCTGAGCATGTGGCCAGATATTATTTTAATAAACCCAGCGCATGTTGCCCTCACGCCAGCTGCCGCACACCCTCTCTCATCGTGTGGATCTCATTTATTCCTCGTTAGCAAAATCACCTGTTTGTCAAATAAGGACAGCTCGGTGAGACATTAAATTGCACTGAAGCTGGGGGTGGCTTGGGGACCGTGGCAGGCAGCTGGGAGGGTGGTAGGGAGGAAGAGGGGAGGAGGTGGAGGTGACTTCAGTTCCAACTTTGTTCTGGCCACAGGGGCAAGTCCCCCACTGCTGGCAGCGTCACCCCCAACCCAAGAGTTGGCCAGTAGCCACAGGCATGGGGATAGGGGCTTGCTGAATGTGGAGAGGCTGAATTTGGGAATGGGTCAAATTTTCCTATGATATCAGCTGGGGAGGGTGCCAGCAAGGTCGTGAGGAGAGGGCGGGAATTGGGCAGCCTACTTCTCCCCTTTGGAGAGCTGGCATGAGAGAGAGCCCTGAAACAATAAATATGAATGCAACATTGCAGCATTGCATTTCTGCAGCCAGGAGCAAAGAAAAGTGGTTTCTCATGGCAGTTAAGCACACAGATCTGAAGTCAGGCAGAGCTGGGTTCAAACACCTGTTTGGCTGCTCTCTAGTTGTACGCGTTGGGGCAGGGCACTTTACCTCTCAGAGCACCTCTTTTGCAGCTGTAAGATGGGGCTAATGCCAGTACCTACCTAGCGGGGTTGTCCAGTTGATTATTCCATTATGCAGACAAGACTTAGCCCGGTGCCTGGACCAGAGAACAGAATTAACTTTATTGTTTGAACACATCAGCCTGCGGCCAGGTTCAAAGTCAGTGGCAATATTGCCACAAACTCCAACTCTGTTATGGCCCTTTGCTTCCTCTCTGAAAGCCCCTCTCCTTGTTTTCAGGATGTCCCCAGATAACTGGGTTTTCCCACTCTAAACTGCCAGCTCCACAAGGTCAGAGGCTACGGCTGCGTGGCTCACCTTGAGCACATAGCATATGTTCAGGAACTGTTTGTTGACTGACTAATGAACCGACCCCCTCCTGCCCCTCTGATCACCACTTTTTTCCCCTGGATGTCATCTTCTTTCAACGCTCTAGCCCAGAGCTATCTGATAAAAATATAATGCAAGCCACAAGTACAACATCAAATTTTCTAATAGCCTCATTTTGAAAAAAAAAAAAAATGAGACGAGTGAAATAAATTTTTGTTTTTGAGATGGGGTCTTCCCATGCTGCCCAGGCTGGTCTCAAACTCCTGGGCTCAAGCAATCCTCCTGCCTCAGCCTCACAAACTGCTAAGATTACAGGCGTGAGCCACCGCACCTGGCCTAAAAAGAAATTTAAACATCTGTTTTATTTAACCTAATGTTGCCAAAATATCATTTCAACATAGAATAAATATTAAAAATTACTGATGAAATATTTTACATTCTCTTTTCATACTAAGTCTTCAAAACCCAACGTGTGTTCTGCACTGATGGCACACCTCAATTTAGACTGCCCCCATTTCAAGTGCCCGATAGCCATTTATGACTCCCGATACTGTAGGGTGCAGTTCCAGACCCTGGCTGGGGACAGGCCATCAGCATCATTTGCAAGTACTTTTTAAACCATGATATGCAGTCAGTTGTCTGAGCCTGAGCTCATGGAAGCCACTGGGCTGATTCACCATCCAGGTGAGTGCATGGCTGTCACAACATTGGCTCTAGGGACCAATACAGACATGCAGAGTCCCTGACTCTACCCCAGACCTCCTAAGTCAAAATCTGGTTTGAGGGCTTACTTTTAATCCTGAGGTCACTGTAGATTCACAATCAGTTGTAATATATAATCCAGGGAGCTGCTATACCCTTCATGCAGGTCCCCACAATGGTAACATCTTGCAAAACTCTCGTATAAAGCCCAAACTGAAAATTGACATGACTGACATTGACCCAATCCACCCACCTTATTCAGATTTTACAGTTTTACTTGTTTAGTTTTAGTTTACCCTCATTTGTGGGTGCAATTTGGTTCTGTGTAAGTTTGTCATGTGTAGATTCATGCAACCCCCACAATTGTCAAGAAACAGAACAGTTCATCACAGGACTCTTCGTGCTACCCTCTTATACCACACTCAACTTCTACCTCCCATCCTCCCCAGTCCCTATGAATTTGCTTTTACCCCAGTTCCAGGTGAGTCACGTGCATGTTAAGTTTGAGAATCAAAGGCTGAGTTTTTCTCTCTTCCATTTTCTTTTGGTCGTTTGGATCACTTGAGAGAGAAAGTCTTAGTAGGGAACTAATTCTTTGTTAACACCTCTCTTATGCTGGCTAATTCCTTCTGTGATCTTGAGCAAGTTACTGGGCCTCTTGGAGTCCCACTTTCCTAATTTGTACAATGGGGATCACAGTTATATCCAACCACAGTGTTGCTGAAAAGATTAAATGAGATAATGCTATAAAAATGCATCTGAAGGAGCTGAGCCAAGGAAAAACCTAGAACTCTGCCCCTCAACCTTCCATTCTTAAGCACAAAAGGAAGATGTTCATTGCAGCATTATTTATGGTTAAACAATGGCTTAACAATGGCTAAATTCATTATAGTACGTCGTGCAGTGAAGTATCTTGCAATATTTAGAGATTCATGTTGTAAAAAGCAAAAATTGACAAATGGGATCTAATTAAACTAAAGAGCTTCTGCACAGCCAAAGAAACGATCATGAGAGTGAACAGACAACCTACAGAATGGGAGAAAAATTTTGCAATCTATTCATCTGACAAAGATTTAACATCCAGAGTCTACAAGAAATTTAAACAAATTTACAAGAAAAAAAAAACCATTAAAAAGTGGGCAAAGGACATGAACAAACACTTCTCAAAGGAAGACATACATGAGGCCAACAAACATATGAAAAAAAGCTCAACATCACTGATCATTAGAGAAATGCAAATCAAAACCACAGTGAGATACTATCTCATGCCAGTCAGAATGGCTATTATTAAAAAGTCAAAATACAACAGATACTGGTGAGGTTGCAGAGAAAACGGAACACTCTTACACTGTTGGTGGGAGTGTAAATTAGTTCAACCATTGTGGAAGACAGTGTGGTGATTCCTCAAAGACCTAGAGGCAGAAATACCATTTGACCCAGCAATCCCATTACTGGGAATATACTCAAAGGAGTATAAATCATTTTACTATAAAGACACATGCACGCATATGTTCATTCCAGCACTATCCACACTAGCAAAGACATGGAATCAACCTAAATGCCCATAAATGATAGACTGGATAAAGAAAACGTGGCACACATACACATGGAATACTATGCAGCCATAAAAAGGAACAAGATCATGTGCTTGGCAGGGACGTAGATGGAGTTAGAAGTCATTATCATCAGTAAACTCATGCAGGAACAGAAAGCCAAACATCACATGTTCTCACTTATAAGTGGAAGGTAAATGATGAGAACACATGGACACATGACAGGGGACAACATACATTGGGGCCTGTTGGAGGGAGTGGGTGGGGGCAGGGAGAGTGTCAAGAAAAATAGTTAATGCATGCTGGTCTTAGTACCTAGGTGATGAGTTGATCGGTGCAGCAAACCACCATGGCACACGTTTACCTATGTGACAACCTGCATGTCCTGCACATGTACCCCTGAACTTAAAATAAAAGTTGAAGAAAAAAAAAATTTGTGTTGTAGTTATCAATGAACTGTCAAAAAGGAATGTTTGTGCTGATTCATTGGTTTTTAAAATTAAAAAGAAATACCTGATTGATGTAAAAGGTCAAAAACTCAGAAATGTGTAATGGAAACAGAGTTTTCTATTCTCTACTCCCATTTTGCCCCAATCCAACTTCCCAAGGGAAATTGCTGACCTCAATTTTGTGTGCATGTTTCCAGATAGTCTTTATGCATATACAAATATGTATGTGTGGTGTGTGTGTGTGTTGATACAAAGGGTGTCATGCTGTATGTACTGATAAGCAACTTTTCACCCAAACACATATGTACTAGGTTTTTAAAGGAGGAAATCAAGTTATAAAAAAGCACATTTGGGCCAGGCACGGTGGCTCACGCCTGTAATCCCAGCACTCTGGGAGGCCGATGCAGGTGGATCACCAGTTCAGGAGTTCAAGACCAGCCTGGCCAATATGGTACAACCCCATCTCTACTAAAAATACAAAAATTAGCCAGACGTGGTGGTGAGCGCCTGTAATCCCAGCTACTCGGCAGGCTGAGGCAGAGAATTGTTTGAACCCAGGAGGCGGAGGTTGCAGTAAGCCAAGATCGTGCCACTGCACTCCAGCCTGGGTGACAGAGTGAGACTCCATCTCAAGAAAAAAAAAAAAGCATATTCGGTATGATCCCAATTTTGTAAATACATGCATAGAAAAAGATCCATAACTCCATATCTGAAAAATAAATGTAACAAACCTAATCGCTGGTGGAGATGAGGGAGAAGGCTGAAGAGAGAAGTTTGAGACTCAGTCCTACAAGATACACAGTATTCACCTTTCTGAGCCTCAGAATGGTGAGGCCGTAAAATAAGATATAATCAGTATTTCCCACCCACCCCCCGCCCCCCTGCCCACCCTGGAGGTGATATTGAGCAATCTCTGAAGATATTTTTGTTGTTACCACCGGGTGCTACTCGCATCTAGTGAGTAGAAGCCAAGGGCGCTGATAAACATCCCACAGCGCACAGGACAGCCCCTACAAAAGAGAATTACATGGCCCAAAATGTCAAAGTACTGAGGACAGAAAACCCTCACTGTAATAATAACCCCTGTGCACCTCACCGGGCTCTGTGAGATTCTAGCAGGTGCTGGGTAACAGGAAGCTCTTGTTATCACCATTGCTGTTCTTATCATCATGTTGGTGCTTATGATTATCAGCAATTTTGAAGAGCTGAATATTTTTGAAACCTGGAAATGCAGTCAGTTGTCTGAGCCTGAGCTCATGGAAGCCATTGGGCTGATTCACCAGCCAGGTGAGCACACGGCTGTCACAACATTTGCTCTAGGGACCAAGCCATAGGATGACCCTTCCTTCCCCTGCCCGAGGCCTGAGGCAGCAGGGCACAAGGTGGACCAGCAGGCTGGCCGGGGCATCCTTGGGCCTGGCATGAAGCCCCAGCCGGCAGCTGACCAGCTGGCCGAGCCCCTGAGTGGGGGCCCAGCTGCCCAGCCTGGGCCCCGGCCCTCTCTGCCTTCTCCGGCTGCTCCCAGAGAGCAGGAATTAGCAGGACGGCATCCTTTGCACCTCCCGAGCTCATTAGCTCCCCAGCCTCATTCTCTGCGGAAAGCTTGTGGCCTCACGCTCGACTGCTGGGCCCGTGATTGTGGCCAGCCGGCCTCCTCCATCCCGCCGGGGGCCACTCCTTCCCATCTGCCTCCCTGCTTGGAATCTTCCCCTTTGTCCTCTCCCCTCCGCCGCCCCCAGACGCCCCTCTTGACTCCATGTCCTCAGTACCTTCTCATCTTTCTTCTCTCCAGGGCCCTCCTAGCAGTGGGCACCATGCCTCCAGCTCCTCTCTACTCCTAATCAGACTCTGAGCCCTGAGACCCTCCTCCACCTCCCCTAAAAGAGGAAAAACCCTTAGAGGATTCATAGACACAGGATTTGAAAAAGAGACCTTGAGGCGGAGCGCAGTGGTTCATGCCTATAATCCTAGCACTTTGGGAGGCCAAGGAGGGCAAATCTCTTGAGGTCAGGAGTTTGAGACCAGCCCGACCAACATGGTGAAACCCCATCTCTACCAGAAATACAAAAATTAGCCAGGCATGGTGGTGTGTGCCTGTAGTCTCGGCTATTCCGGAGGCTGAGGCAGAAGAATCGCTTGAACCCGAGAGGCGGAGGTTGCAGTGAGCCGAGACCGCACCACCGCACTCCAGCCTGGGCGATAGAGCAAGACTCTGTCTCAAAAAAAAAAAAAAGAAAGAAAAGAAAAAGAGACCTTGATCTTGCTTATTCCATAGGTGTGAAAACTGAGGCCGGAGAGGGCAAGACTTAGCTGAGGTCCAAGAGTGAGTTGGGGAATCAAACACACATTCATTTATTCAAGATGTACGGTATCCTCTGGAAACTATCAGCAGGCCCTGCTCTAGACCCTAGGAACATAGTGGTGAGCAAATCAGCCACTGGGGAAGGAGGGTGGGGAGAAGGCACAGACCCTGAGGGTCTGGGTTGGGCAAAGACCCACCCGCAGGCAAGGGCTAGGCTTTCTTCCCAGGCTCCCAGGTCCCCCAGCCTGTTCCAGCCCCTTGTTCCTGGCTTCAGCCAAACTCAAGCCTCAATCTCAGCCCCTACCCTCATGGAGCTTCCTATCTAGAATGCGGCTGGCAAAGTTTTTCTGCAAAGTGCCAGACAGCAAAATATTCTGGGTTTTGCAGACCTCATACTCTCCATTGCAACTATTCAACACTGTCGTTGTAACGTGAAACACAGTATGTTTTCAAAAATGGGCATCACGGTGTTCCAATAAGACTTTATTTACAAAAACAGGGTGTGAGCTGGATTTGGCCCTCAGGGGTTAATTTGCTAACCCCTGGTCTAGGGATTTCTTTGTAGAGACAAGGTCTTGCTTTGTGGCCCAGGCTGGAGTACAGTTGCATAATCATAGCTCACTGTAGCCTTGAACTCCTGAGTTCAAGGGATCCTCCTGCCTCAGCCTCCCAAGTAGCTGGAACTACAGACACAACTAATTCTTTTTAATTTTTTTGTAGTGACGGGGTCTTGCTATGTTGTCTTGCTTGCTGGTCTTAAACTCCTGGCCTCAAGCGATCCTCCTGCATTGGCTTCCCAAAGTGCTTGGATTACAGGCCTGAGCCATCATGCTCTGCCAAGGGTTTTCTTAATTCTTGAATTTTTTTTCCACCTAGCAGCCCTAGCAACTCTCTTTTGCTTAATTACATGGGATTGTATTTAGAGAACAAAGAGAATTTTCCCCTTGATATTCCCCAGCCAAGGGATGGCCAAAGGCAACTGCTGACCAGAAGGCCGGGCCACTGGAGGGCAGTGGATAGAAACTAGACTTAGGGGGCTGGGCATGCCTGGTCTTGATGGCCAGCCTGCATGCCCCTAGGCTGAGTCTGCAAGTGGATCCTAGCTTTAGGTCCTCATTCAGACTATCACCTGCAGGTCGCTCAGCTCCATGCTGGCCTTTTCCAGCTCCACTTTGCAGACTCCTGTGATACCAGGGCCCCTGGAAATGACCTTGGGCTGGGAATCCAGAGTATGGCTTCTTTTCTTGGCTGAGGCTCTTCAAAAGGGTGCCTCAGTTTCCCCATTGTTAACACCGGGGGTCCCCGGTCATCCTCAAGAGTGGTAACTAGGTTCATCAGACAGCATGAGTACACGTGTGCACACATATGTACACATGCCATCCCCAAATTATTCATTCATTCCCAAAGGGAGGTGAGAAATCCTATGTCTTATGCCTGCATAGCCCCACAGTCTGAATGCAGATCACCTACACTGGGGTGGGGTAGGATAGTGCAGTGGTTAAGGAGGTTAAGGAGTGGTTAAGGAGGGGGACTCTGAAGGCCAGCTGCACTCCCTTAGCAGCTGAGAGACCTCAGGTAAATTACTTCCCCTCTCTGAGCCTGCGTTTGTCCTCAATAAGATAGGGATCACCATAGCCCCCACCTCACAAGGTCGGAATGAAGCCAAGATACAATTGCCAAGGAAGTCCTTAGCACAGCCTGGCATGTAGCACACTGTCAATAAACAGGAGTCACTACAATCATGTCATCGTCATGTCATTTGATCAAAATACTCTAAATGGTAGGCTGAGAAGAAATGTGCCATCATTCCCATTTTACAGACGAAGAGACTGAGAAGAAGGCCTATGCCTGGTGTAGTGGGTGCTGTGGTGTGCCACCCAGACCCCAGGCCCTCATTCCACAGATGATGCAGTGGTGGCTTCTGATGGTTCTACGCTGTCAGCCCTCCTCAGGAACCGCCCTGGGCTGAAGGAAGGCACCTTACCAGAGGCGCCCATATCCAGTGATAGGCATGGGTACAGTTGATGCAGGGGTGTGAAGACTCAGCCCCCTTCACCTCAATTTGGGGCATCTCTGAAAGATCACCCCAGCTCCAGAGCTCCCCATTGCAGCTGCATCCCAGCCCAACTTCCTTCTTGGCCCCCTCCTGCCGTCCTAATTCCTCGCAGGCATTTGTTGTAAGAGCACGCCCCGGGAAACCACCTGCGTGCACGTCTCCATTTCCGGGTCTGTTTCGGGGGAACCTGCCCTAAGATGCCTAACTAGCAAGCAGTGAAGCCTGCACCAGCCCCTGAGCCCTTCCCACCTCCTGCTCCAGGGCTGTACCCACCACATCAACCACTCTCTGCAAGAACATCTTCTTTTCATCTGGATAGAATAGAAATGTGAGCCCACAGAAAGCAGTGATGGCTGGTTGCACTTTACTTGTTGGCTGTGAGTTTCGTGAGCTGGATGGAATCAGCATGTACGAATAATAGCAACAACAGGAACAGAGAGGCACGATGTTTCACCACATGCAGGCTAGCTCGGTTCAGGAGCTCCCAAGCTTGGTGGTGCTTGCTCGTCAACTGAAGGGGATGGTTGCTAAAACACAGAGTGCTGGGCCCCGGCCCCAGAGTTTAGAATTCAGTAGGTCTGGGCCAGGCTCGGTGGCTCACGCCTGTAATCCCAGCACTTTGGGAGGCCAAGGCAGGTGGATCACGAGGTCAGGAGTTCAAGACTAACCTGGCCAATATGGTGAAACCCTGTCTCCACTAAAAATACAAAAATTAGCCGGGTGTGATGGCATGTGCCTGTAGTCCCTGCTACTCAGGATGCCGAGAAAGAAGAATCGCTTGAACCCGGGAGGCGGAGGTTGCAGTGAGCCAAGTTCGCACCACTGCACTCCAGCCTGGATGACAGAGCAAGACTCTGTCTCAAAAAAAAATATATATATATAGAATTCAGTAGGTCTGGAGTGAGATATAGGTTTCCAGGTGATGCCAATACTGCTGGTCCAGGGACCACAGTTTGAGTGAATATGGGCACAAGGCCTAGACTTAAAGACACATGCATTTACATTGTGACAATATCATGTGATGCTGTGTGATCTTGGACAAGTTACCTACCTTCTCTGGACCTCCATTTCATTATATGGAAAATGGATGTGGAGGGAGGAACCTGCTCTGCAGGATTAACTGGAAGATCCAAAAGATCGTGAATGCAAAAACATCTGGCACAAGGCGAGTGCCCAGATCGTGAAATCTGTCATTACGATGTCCAAGCGCGATGCTTGGGCATGCCACATGCTTCCTTTCATTATTATTTTCATTACTGGTAACAGTTGGCCCATCATCTTCGATGCCCTAGGCTGCCTGTTGCTGTCTGCCTCCTTCTCCCTTTGCTGAGTGGTTCTCCGCATTTGGGAGAGGAGAAAACTGAGGAATTTCCTGGCTGAAGGTCAGAGGCCCAGCTTGGGCTTTATCCGCCCCACCCATCTCTTCACCCTAGTCTTTTGCACAGCTTCCCCTCCTGGAGCTGGGGCTGGGCTCCTCTGGCAGGAAGTCTTTCCAAACAAGGAGAGAATAAAGAGCTTTCTGTCCACACCAGAAGAAAAACAAACCCCCAGCGCCCTCCATTCCCCGCTAAGGAAATGATGGATTTCTGTTATTGTTGTTGTTGAAATCACTACCAGGGGAAATAGATCAAGGGACATTTTGCCGGCGAGACAGCTCACTGTGTCACCGGGAAGAATACACATCTCCGCCACACCGCATTGCCTTTCTTTCCACAAGCTCCTTTTTCTCTCCCACAAACCTCAGGGTGGGGGCAGGACTGGACTTTGATGGGCCAGCGGTTGGGGCCCCATGGCTTGAGGGTTGGGGACAGTCATCAGCTTTGCCTCCTCCTTCTCTTCTTCTAGACCCCCATTTCTTTCCTTCCTGTGGGTATCTAAGGCAGGGGAGGGGGTGTAAACCAGTTAAATATTTAATTCGATTTTTCCCCTTTGTATAGGTGGTGATGGGGAGGGAATAATGGTATTCACAGGTGGGAAGGACAAAAAATGTTGTCTATATGGAAAAATTCCTCTGGACTTGTGGTCGGTCTGAAAAGCAACTACACATCCCATATCATCTGGGGCCATTTTGGTTTCCAATGTTCCGTGTTGCAGTCCCTATAAGACTCATATGACTGAATGTATACGGAATATCTGGAACTCACATTCCAACAGAGGAGATAAAATGGGGGTGGGGTTTTCGTACATTGGTTCTGCTCTAGTGACGACAGGTCTACAGTGGGTTATCTGCTTTGCCTATATCTCTCTCAACAAACTTTTCATATATCACCAAAGGCTGGGCTGAGACCATGTGGATCTGGCCTCTGTTGGTATTCTTACCACCTTCCCTCTCTCCTACCCCCAAGCCTCAAGCTAAGAAAGAACAGGGGTTTTGCAGCAGGTTTGAAGCCAGTACTTCAAATTTCCCACTGTGTGACCTTGGGCAAGGATTTTAAACCTCTACAAGTCTCAGTTTTTTTCATCTGTAAAATAGGATAATCTTGCCTACCCCCAATGAGTTAAATTAGAGGATTAAATGAGAGTAATCATAATCATTTCTATTAAATATCCAGAAAATAATGATAATCGTTAACACTTACTGAAATGTGCCAAGCATTGCTCTGTTTTTATGCGGATTCATTCAGTTAATCTTTACAATACCCCTATGAGGGAGGTACTACTATTATCCATTTTTTGCAGATGAGAAAACAGAGGCCCAGAGAGGTGAGGTAACTTCGCACAGGTCACATAGCTGGAAGAATGCAGAACTGGGGTTCAGTCACAAGGGACCTGGCCAAACCCCAGTCTTAAATCTAGATGTTCCTGAGGTCCAATGGCTTGACATTGCACTGACCAACCCCTAGAGGCTTGACCGAGGTTTTTCCTCTTTCCTATTTCATCGGTACAATCACTTCTGGTCATTTATATGTGACTGGCATGTTCAGATTTGTCCTCGGGGATTACTATTGGGTCCCCATGCCTTTGGGAACGATGATCCCAAAAATGTTATGCATCCAGGTTACATGTAGCATATCCTGTCATTTAAAGTATCTGAGGAAAGTGGCCCCAGGACATCTCTCCCATTCAAAACCTTTGCTTTGGGGAAAGCTTCCCTGGGTCTCACCTCTACCTCTTCTGCTCTGATCTTGGTCTACTTCCTGGAATTCTCAGCAGAGAGCTTTGCTCTGCACTCCCTACCACACCCACAATGTAATGGACTCATCATTAAACCGCAGCAGTCTCCTATCTGAGCGAAATCATAGCCCCATTAAACCCCAGAGACCCCACATTCCCCGCCCTGCACTTTTCCTGAAGCCCTGATCCCCCATTTTGCAGAAGAAATCCCACATTTAACAAACATTCCTTAAAGAACTACAAGAGTGCTGGGAATTGAGTTTAGCAGAAGGTGGAGACTTGAGTCTCGGTCTTTGAGGGCCAGATGCGCACATGTGTTTGGGTGTTTATCAATATCTACTGTCCAGGGAAGAACATGGCAAGAACCACAAGCCACAAGCCACCTTGGAGGCTGGCGTCAACAATGGACAGCAGTTTGGCAGGCAGGGATATTTGGCCGATGGCCTGCTAGGCTGGAGGGCATGCTTCAGAGACAGTGAATATTCAGTTCAGCTAGAGCATGGGTATATGAGAGATGCCACCAGACAGGTGTTTGAAGATCCTTGCTAAGGTGCCCGGACTTGATCTGATAGAAAACAGTGAAATGTTAAAGGGTCTGAGTAGATGTATCAGGGCTTGGTTTTAGGGTGATGGAAATGCATGGTACATGCCTGTCTTGGTTGACATCCCTTTGTGGGGAATGTTGAAATGCTAGTGGTTTATCTGGGAGGTGATCCCAACTGAAATGGGGGTGGAGAGTTAAGGAAGAAGAGAAGACGCTAATAAAAGGGATGTTACAGAGCCAGTTTCCACCTTGGACATCTGAAGCTTAACCCCACCAGAAAGCTCAGAGAGACAGACAGAGAACACGCAGCTCAGAGTTATTCCCTGCCTCCAGGTTGAGAAAGGCTGAGCATTGGTCTGCCATTGGCTGAAGCTGTTTGCCCAGCCAGCCTGCTCCCATCACCAAAAAGAAAGTCCTTGGGCAAAGAGTAAACCTCCTTCCCCAAGTAGAAGCAAAGACCCTGACAGTGTCTGCTGTAAGTGCTCGATAGACGTTCATTGAATGAATGAATGAATGAATGAATGATATTCTGTGTGCCTGACACTGTGCTGGTGGAATGTAGAGAAAACTTAGAGCCCTTGAAGAGCTCATGACAGCAGGGAAGACTGATACACACACACACACACACACACACACACACACACACACACACACACACACACAACTAATTATAATGAAATATGCAAGTATAAATGCTCCTGGAAACTGTTGCCTATTTTTAGTTACAGTCAGCCCAGAACACCTTCCTGGAAATTAGTGTTATCACTATGTTTCCCAAAGTGCATTTTAGGGAACTCTCCTCCCAGGACATGCTCTGAGCTGGGGAAATGCTCTGTGGCCAATCACAGGTGGAATTCTATATATTCTGTTCACAACAGCCAGGACCCACGGATCAATTACTCTTTGACCCAGAATTTGCCAAACATATTTGACATATTTATCCTCCAAGGTTCAAATTAAGTCCAGCAAAACTGGGTCAAGCAGTTCACTAGAATCTCCACTCTTCTGAGCTGGAGAAGATTACATGCCATGTTGTCCATGAAACCTTCTGCAATGGTGGAAGTGTTCTGAACCTGTGCTATCCAATATGGTAGCCACCATGGCTCTTGAGCACTTGGAATGTGGCTAGTATGACTGAGGAATGAATTTTTAATTTTAATTAATTTAACTTTAAATTAAATGCTATTATCTACCTAATTAGGCAGCATAGTTGCACCATCTAATTTTTGCCTATTACCCAGGTTCCCTGTTGAGCTTGTACCAACTGAGCATGGTGACTGGCACAGAATGACCCTTCTGTAAATCACAGTCTTCCTACAATATTGGCTGCCATTTATTGAGCACTTGCTATATGCCAGACACTCATAGCTTGATTTAATCCTCCAATAGCCTAAGGAGGTCAGTGCTATTGTTATCAAATCCATTTTCCAGATGAAGTGGAGGCATGGGGGCATTAAGTGACTTGTTCAAGCTCCGAAAACTAAGAAGTGATGGATCCAGGGATTGTGCCTGGGGGTGTCTGACTCCACATTCCCTTTCTTAATCCCGGTAGTGCACCCATATGCCAAGACTGGCTTCCAGGACAATCTCAGAAACAGCCCTGGGATGAGAGGTGAGACCCCCTATACCTCCTTCTTTGATGGGGCACTTTCCAGATAAAAGGTATTTTTCTCCACCTTTAAATGCCTGCTGAGTATGCACTGAGCATGGGGCTGGACACTGGGGAAGTAGGGAGCTGTGGAAGTCACAGGTGCACCCCTTGGGGAGCTCCCCATCTACTAGGGGGCAGCAGCCAAGTAAGCAATTACCCACGACACAGCAATATAAGAGTCCAGGGAGGAACAATCTCCTGCCTCCCCCACCATCACCCCTCCCCGGTCTGGCCCAGCCCAAAGCCTCCTCCTCTTCCTCACAAAGAAGCCCAGGAGGCCCCGCCCGAGCCCCTCCCCCAACAGTGGCGTGTTGTGCCCAGCGACTGAGGGTACATGATCCCATACCTTTCATCCCTTGCCGAGTTCAGATAAATATCCCCCTCCTCTCCCTCTACAGCTGAAAGTCGTCCGGTCTAGCTAGGGTTTCTCCCACTTATGCAGCTCATGAATATTTAACAGCATCTGCCATGGAGGCGATAAAGCCCTACCAATCCTTGACAAATATGGCCTAATCTTTTCAATTTTGGGGTGCAAATATGCCTTCTGAGTCCTGTTTGTCACCTAGATTAATGGCCCAGGGTCCCATAATCCTTTGGTGCTAATTCAAGTGGTGGCCGGCCGGCGTGTGCCTTCCAGGGGGATGCTGGGACGCACACAGGCACACACGCACACGCACACACACAAGAAGGAGTGATTAATCACGTGAAGATTACTTGTAGTGTGTGCGTGTGTGTGTGTGTGTTGAGTGTGGCCACTGCTTGTAGCACTTGTGTATATATAGGCCTGTATGGGTAGCCTGTGTCTTTGTGTACCTCGACTCTGTGTTTACAAGTGTTTGGCTGCATGTGTCCAGGTGACTTGTGTATGGTCTGTGTCTGTGTGTGTTCCTTTGTATGAGTGCATATGTGCGTGCATGCATGTAGAGTGGAAATATGTGTGTGTGTGTGTGTGTGTGTGTGTGTGTGTGTTTCTATGGGGGGAGGAGCATGTAAACCAGCTGAACACTGATGGCTTCACCCTTGTATAAGTGGTGATGGAGAGGAAGGAGATGGTAGTCACAGGTGGGAAGACATAAGAAAATATTGCCTACAGGGGAAAACTTTTCTAGAATATGTTTCTGGTCAGTCTGAAAAGCAGCCACACATCCCCCATCCTCTGGGGCCATTTTCATTTCAAATATTTTATGGTGCTGTCCCTATAAGAGACATATGATCAGATATGTATATGGAGTATCTGGAGTTTACAATCCAGTAGAGAAAAATAAGTGCGTGTGTGTGTGTGCGCGTGCACGCATACTTGCACACGTGTGTGTATGCAAGTGTGTGTGCATGTGCGTGTTGTTTTAGTGCCTTCATACACTGCTCTAATGCAGACAGAGATCCACAGCAGTTTATCTGCTTCCTTCTCTCTCTCTCAGCAAACCTTCAATATTTCACCAAAATGAAAGACTAAGACCTTGTGGATCCAGCCTCTGTTGATGTCCTTACCACCTGGTTCACTTCTCTCCCAGATCTATTCTCAGAGGAGCCCAGCAGGAGCTGGGGATGTGAGTGTGAGATCTCTCCCTATAGCCCAGTTGACCCACAAGGAAAGACCAAAATCCTTAATCTTTTCCCCTTTTCTTCCCATCACTAGCATCTGCACCACTCACCTATGAGAGCAGTGACCCAGGTAAGTGGCCAGGGGAGGGGGGAGGGGCAGCCTCACCCAGGATGGGGCTGGGAAGGAGGGAGTGCAGTGAGGGGTGCAAGGAGCTTGGACCAAAACTGGGACCGATGTAGAATGTCCACCCTCACCATGTAAGACGACTCCATCATGTCAAACAACCCTGTGTTCAAATGTAAAGAAAGGCCAGGCATGCTAACGCACGCCTGTAATCCCAGTGCTTTGGGAGGCTGAGGCAGGAGGATCACTTGAGCCCAGGAGTTCAAGATCAGCCTGAAAAATATAGCAAGATCATATCCCTACAAAAAAATTTTTTTAATTAGCCAGGCATGTTGATGTGCACCTGTAGTCCCAGCTCCAGCCTGGGCAACAGACTGAGACCCTGCCAAAAAAAAAAAGGTAGAGACAAAAATGCCCCTAGCTCAAGACAGCTCAAGACAGACCCAGGTGCCTTCCATTCAATTCTTGAGCAAATATTTCCCTAGCACCAACTATGTGTGCCTCTGTGCACAACATGGCTGCACGTCCATGGCATTTTTACCTGGCCCATTCTGTGCTGAGGATACTGACATGCAGAAGAGAACCTGTTGCACTGAGACCTAAAATAGAGCATGCCAAGGACTGTGGTGGGGAAAGTGGGGAATTATGTGGGAGTACCCAGCCTTCAGCAGAAACAACAAGGGCTGAGTTTATATTTTTGCAAAAGAACACAGCTTTGCGAACAAATTTACCAATCCCACCAAGATGTAGGACATAGAAGGCATAGCTTAGTGGTTGGCAGCGTTCACACTGGAGTCAAACAGGACTATGTGTAACTCTTTCCTCTGACACTTCGAAGTTATGTAACCTTGAACAAGTCATTTCTGTGTCCTGTCACTCAGTTTCCGCAGATGTAGCTGGGGACATCGAGCAGGACGGTCACTCCCTGTGGCATGGCGTGAGGATTGCATGCCCTGCACATGCTATGTGCTCGAGACAGTTAGAAGTTGTGGTTGTTGTCACTGTTATTACCTGCAGCCCCTGCTGCTGATGTTTCCATCCCCACTTTACTCCCACCTTTCCCAAGACTAGAGAAAGTTTCAGTAGTGCCGGCTTAAGGAACTTGATCTACAAACATTCTTCCTGCAACCTAGCCAGTGGGAAAAAGAGACCATTTCAAGACCCCTCTCCCTTTTGTAAGGAAAGTTCCGATCACTGGTCCTAATTTTGTTCCAAGCTCTTTGTACCCTACACCACTTCACTCCTTCCTTCCCAGCCCCATCCTGGGTGAGGCTGCCCCTCCCCACTCCTCCGGCCACCTACCTGGCTCGCTGCCCTCACTGGTGAGTGGTGCAGATGCTAGTGATGGGAAGAAAAGGGGAAAGGGTGAAGGATTTTGGTCTTTCCTGGTGGCTCAACTGGGCTATAGGGAGAAATCTCATGCTCACATCCCCAGCTCCTGCTGGACTCCTCTGAGAATAGATCTGGGAGAGAAGTGAACCAGGTGGTAAGGACATCAACAGAGGCCAGATCCACATGGTCTTAGTCTTTTGTTTTGGTGAAATATAGAAGGTTTGCTGAGGGGTGGGGAGGAAGATTGCAAAGTGGATAAACCACTGTGGATCTCTGTCTGCACTAGGGCAGTGTATGAAGGCACTGATACAGGAAAGACTTTTCACAGGAAAATGCAGAAACAGGAACCAGCATCCCCACCGCCTGGAGACCTACCTCCCAGGCATGGCTGTCTCCAATCATTCTGGCATATTTCCCCAGCACAACCAGGTCCTTCCCTCCACCATTATCCAGCCCATCCCACAGAGGAGGCCCCAGCTCTGAGGATGCAGGTGTTCGGGGGCTAAGAAATGACCAGAACTGCATTGACCAATGGTCACCTCTCTCTGAACTGGGAAAAATCACCTTGTTCTAAAGTAAGAGGAATCCAGGGCAACACTGTAAAGAATTAGGGTTAGATGTGCATTTCTCAGCCTTTTCATAACACAAAATCCTCCCCCCTCCCCTCCCCAAGAGTCTAAGAATGCCCACCCATCGACAGCTGAGAATTTCTGCCCTTCCATCTATGCGTCCCCACAAACCAAGGAGATTCTGTTCATCTTTCTACTCCATAGTTTGTGTAAGGAAAACAACAGGCTCAGCTCTTTTTCCAAATGCTACTAATTTTTCAAATGACATCTACTCCTCTCTGGGAGTCTCTCACTAGCAACCAATCCATCCACACCTGAATCAACAACCTCTGTATTTGCTTATTATTTCCTGGAAGACAGAGACCGAGGCCTGGGGAACTCTGTGGGGCACTCAGGGCATCTGCCCTGGCCTTTTTTTTAGGACACTGTAATGAATATGCTAAAGCAGCCAGAACATTTAAGCAATTGCTGACTATTACTGAGGGCAGCTGTGGTGTTTCAGGAGTTGAGTACAGTGGTTGTGGCAAGCAGCCTCATAAGGTGGCTGCCTTAAGATGTCCCCAAAGTTCCCCACCTTCCAGTATTCATTCCCTTGTGTAGTTCCCATCCCTTGAAAGTGGGCTGGACCTAGTGACTCACTTCTAATGAAGGCACTATGGCAAAAGAAATGGGATGTCACCTCTAAGATTCAGTTGGAAAAAGGTTATGACTTGCTTGCTCCCTCTCTGAGATCCCTGGCTTTAAGAGAAGCAAGCTGCCATATTGTGGGCAGCCCTAGAAAAGGCCCCTGAGGCAAGGAACAATGTCTCCAGCCAAAAGCTGGTAAGAACCTGAAACCTGCCAACAGCCCCATGAGCAAGCTTGGAAGCAGAGCTTCCCCCAGTGACCCTTGAAATGACTGTTGCCCGGGCTGACACCTTGATTGGACCTATGAGAGTCCCTGAGCCAGAGGCCCAAGCTAAGCTGCTCCTGATTCCTGACCCACAGAAACTGTGAGGTAATAAATGTTTATTCTTTACAGCCATTGAGTTTGTGGTCATCTGTTATAAAGAAATAGATAACTAATACAATGATTAAGCATGGCTTGGGTTCAAATCCTGGGCTCTGCTGTTTCCTACCTGTGTAACCTTGGACAAATCACTTCATCTCTTGGTGACTCAGTGTCCTTTTCTGTAACATGGGGTAATAACAGGACCTACCTCAAAGGGTTGTTGTGAGAATTAAATATGCTTAATATAGGTAAAGGGGCCGGGCGCAGTGGCTCACACCCAATCCCAGCACTTTGGGAGGCTGAGGCAGGCAGATCACTTCAAGACCAGCCTGGCCAACATGGTGAAAACCTGTCTCTACTAAATATACAAAAATTAGCCGGGCATGGTGGTGGGCACCTGTAATACCAGCTACTCGGGAGACTGAGGCATGAGAATTGCTTGAACCTGGGAGGGAGAGGTTGCAGTGAGCAGAGATCGCACCATTGCACTCCAGTCTGGACAACAGAGTGAGACTCTGTCTCAAAAATAATAATAATAATAATATAGGTAAAACATTTGGTACATAGAGAGCATTCTATAAGAGTTAGCATTGCTAGTATTGTTACCTCTGAAAACTTAAGTCTGAGATAACTCAGGTAACACATGGAGACGAGGAAGAAACTAAATGACCTGGGGAATGTCCCATCCAAACCAGCAGCCTTGAGAATATAGGACAAACTTACTACCTGTACCCCATTTCCTGAAACATCTTTCAACAATAAATTAACTTATATTTTCAGAGAGTTAACAAAGTACACCCCATATATGACATTATTCAACAACAATCCTATGAGACAGATAACATGATAGATTATTTCCAGAGGTAGCCAGCATGGATTCCTTCCCTTCCTGTTCACACATTCGGTTTTCCTTGAATCTAGTCTTACCTTGTGACTTGCTTTGACCCCTAGAATGAAGCAGAAAAGATGTTCTGAGATTTTTCAAGCCCAGGTCTGAAGAGGACTGGTAGAGTCTACTTTCTCCTCTTTGAAGCCACGTTCCATGTAAGAAGCCTGACTACCCTAAGACCACCATGTTGTGAGGAAGCCCAAAGCCAACCATGAGGTGTAAGAGGTCACATGGAGGAGCATTGAGGCAGGCACAAGACACTTAAGTACAACCTTCTTGGACCTCCCCATGCAGTCCAGCTACCACATAAATGCAGCCACACAAGTGACGCCAGCAGACACCACATTGAAGAGTCTCCCAGCTGAGCCTAGTCAACCTACAGAATTGTGAAAAATAAAAAATCATTGTTGTTTTCAGCCACTAAGGTTTGAGGTGTTTTCTTATGTAGCAATAGATAACTGAAACGGAGCTATTATTTCATTTTCTATTTTACAAATGAATAGACCAGGTCACTTGACTGAAGTAACATAGCCATTGGGTGGTGGTGCCTGGGGTGGGATTTGACCCCAGGAAGTCTGACTCCTGTAAATCTTACCATACAAACTCAAGTTTAAGTATGAGTCACCCTTCCTTCAGGAGGCCTTCCCAGCCCACTCTGAGGATGCTTCTCAGAGAGAGCAGCCTCTGGCCATAGGCCACCATATGGCTAGTGGCCTCATTTTTAGGACAGTGAATTCCTGATCTGAACCCCCAGCACATAGTAGGAGTTTAGAAAGTATAGCCTGATTTGATTTGTAAGGCACCTTATACTTTTCCAAATCGTTTCCTGCCCAATACCCCATTTGGTCTTCACTAAAGCTCAATGTGGGTACAGGACAAGGAGAAAAGGCTTTACTGACTTGATGTGAAACATCAGCCCGGATCACGAAACAAGTGAATGACCAAGCTGGGCCTGGAGCTGGATTTACCAAATCTCACACCCCTGGTCAAAGAATGTGACCGGATGATCTCAGCAAAGGAAAGAAAAATGACTGGCATGTGTCTATTCATGGAGCAAATATGTTCTACTCTCTACTGAGACGTGGGCAAAGGGTAGCTGAGGGTTTCTCAACCTTTGCGCATTTGGAGCCGGATACTTTTTGTTGAGGGGCTGTCCTGTGAACTGGAGGGTGTTTAGCAACATCCCTGGCCTCTCCCCATGAGGTCCCAGTAGCCCCTTCCCCCTCCCCCATTTTGGAGACAACCAAAAATGTCTCCAGGCATTGGTAACTGTCCCCTGGGGACAAAATGGACACTAGTGAACAAATTTCCACTTGGAGATGCCACTTCTAACTCTTATACTATTTTTTTAAAGCATTAGTATCAGTGAAAGCGGTTTTATTTTGTTTTGTTTTTATTCGTACAAATTGATGGGGTTTTTAAAATCCATAACAACCAAAACTTAGGACGTTGCTGATCAATGGTGCAAGCAAACTTCATTAACGGCAGGGTCAGTTGGCACAAACTTGTGGAAATCCACTTGTAAATATGATCATAGATGTGTCCTTCAATGCAATAAACCACGTATCAGTCAGGGTCTTTTAAATTTTATTTTATTTTTGGAGAGGGGGTCTCACTGTGTCACCAAGCCTGGAGTACAGTGGCACAATCATGGTTCATTGCAGCCTCGACCTCCTGGGCGCAAGCAATACTCTCACCTCAGCCTTCTGAGTAGCTGGGACCACAGGCATGCACCAACACATCCAGCTATTTTTTATTTTATTTTATTATTTATTTTTTTTTTTTGGAGAGATGGGATCTCATGATGTTGCCCAGGTTGGTCTCGAACTCCTGGGCTCAAGTAATCCTCCTGCCTCTGTTCCCAAAGTGTTGGGAATACAGGCATGAGCCACCATGCCAGCTCAGTCAGAGTCTTAGAAAGAGATGGAATTCATCCCCAGATGGTTCAAATAAAAATATTTTAATGAAAGGACTATTTACAGAGATGTCAGGAGGGTTAACAGAACCAACAAGAAAGGTAGAGGGACCCAGAGACTAGCAACAATGGGGAGCTGTTGTTCCCCACCCCCCACCATCACCCACTCCCCAGTGCTGAAGGGGCAGAGGGATGAAATGGCCCTGATAAAGCCCAGTGCTGGAGGAGGGGCCACAGGAGGGATAGTCTGGAGGGTGAACTATGGTCCAAGCCACACTGCAGAATCAAGGAAGGAGGCAGGAAGAAACACCCCAACCTCTCTCTCCTCCTGCCCTCCAACGGTGCCCTCCCACTGGCCAAACCCAACATAAGCCAGACAGCAAGGGAGCCCATAAAATATACGGGTCAGCTTCCCAGAGCACAGAGCAGGACAGAAGAGGAGGGAGAGACCAGGGGCAGTGGCTCACACCTGTAATCCCAGCAACTAGAGACTGAGGCGGGCAGATCACTTAAGGTCAGGAGTTCAAAACTAGTCTGGCCATCATAGTGAAACCCCATCTCTACTAAAAATACAAAAATTAGCTGGGCGTCGTGGCATGTGCCTGTAGTCCCAGCTACTCGGGAGGCTGAGGCAGGAGAATCACTTGAGCCCAGGAGGCAGAGGTTGTAGTGAGCTCAGATCGCACCACTGCACTCCAGCCTGGGCGACGGGAGTAAAACCTTGTCTCAAAAAAAAAAAAAAAAAAAGGAGGGAGAATAAATGGGTTGACAGGGAATAATAGCACCCCATTCCATGCGTAAAACCCTCTCCTGCAAATTAACGCTAAAAAAAAAATCCTCAGAAGTTAAAAGACCAATGCACAAAGATGTTCATGCAGTGTTATTTATAACTCCCCAAATCCACATGGGAAATAAAAAAAAATCCCAATCCAGTGCTCTTTCTACCATATCATCCCCTGGGACATCCCTGCTCCAGAAAGAGTCTCCATCACTTGCCCCTCAGCCCTCTGGGGTTCCTGAGACCCCGGAGGAGGGTAGAGACTCATTTAATTCCCATTCCAGAGTTTGGTCCCTGGGATGATGCCTGAAACTGCTGCACGGAGACCAAGCCCATGTGTGCTTTTGGAGGGCTAAGAAACTCACTTTTGGAGAAATGGTCCCCTATTGAATGGTTACCAGCACCAGGCAAGGTGGAGAAGACAAGAAAAGTCAGGGTCCCTGGTTCCCTCCATTCTCTCCAGGACATCATTGAGCAGAGACAACACAGAAGAATTGCTCAAGTTGCTCTTCGCAGTGCCCCAAATGCCTTAACTTCAGGATGCAGACGCCCAGGCCGCAATGGGGAAGGTGCTTGTCTTCCTCCTCCTTCGGATGCTGCATCTCCTGGCTGCAAAACCAGGGTGGGGACAGGACCTCTCACAGTTACTGAGCCGGTCCCTCTGCCTGTGTCACATGCACTATCCAAGCCTCACCCTGGCCTTACAAGGTTTGTTATTAAATCCGCCTTATGGATGAAGAAATGAGGCTCAGAGAGGTTAAGCCACTGCCCAAGGACACACAGCTACGAAGTGGCAGAACTAGGGCTCCAGCTCCAAGCTTGGCACTCCCAACCTCTAAGGTCTCCAGCCGCCCCCAGTCTCCTCCTCCACTCCCTCCTGCCCTGCTTTCTACTGGCCCCGTCACCCACCCAGGCATTGGCTGGCGGAGAGAAGAGAACAACTACTTGGTGCACCCCAACTCTGTGGCAAATGCGACTATCAATCCCCAAACTGCCCTCTCGACCCTGTAACCACAAGGCCCCTTACTTCCCAAGCCTCAGTCACCCCTTCTGTGAAATGGAAACAGTGTGATACCTACTTCACACGGTAGTGAGTGTGAGAACTAAGTAAGACAATGTGATTACTAATATTGCAGTGCTTGGTCCTATGCTAAGTGCCTTCTGTGATTATCTCATTGACTCCTCCCACCACCCTACAAGGGATGGACTATTATTCTTTTCATTTGAAAACAATTGGAAAGAAATGGAGACCAGGAGAGGTTAAGAAATTCACCTAAAGTCACACAGCGAGAAAGTGGCAAAGCCAGGATTCAAACCTTGATCTGTTAGACTCTGGAAGGTTTTAACCATCAAAACACCTGGTGTGTTAGGAAAACATGTAGAAGTAATCCATCCATCCATGTATAAATATGTAACAAAACTGCACGTTGTGCACATGTACCCTAGAACTTAAAATATAATTTTAATATATATATATATATATATATATAAAATGTTCGATGTAGTAGCCTCATGGGAGGAAGAAACAGTAATAGAGTTGGGGAGCACCTCTGGTCTTTCATCCCTAAGTGCATTAATAGTTTTAATTAAAAAAAAAACCCTTAAAAAAAAGAAGTCATCCATCCATCTATCATTTAAGCCATGTTTACTGAGCACCTGCTATGTCCTAGGTGTTCTTCTTGGCACCAAGGATACTATCAAGGATTAAGACAGGTGAAGTCCTTGGCCTCGTGGAGCTGACAGTCTAGAAAGGAGAGGTAGACAGGAAACAAATCAACGCATAGATAAATAAAAATGTAAATTATGCTGTTATGGAAAGAAACAGGTGCTATGATAAAAAGAAAATAATAACAAGGGGGATCTGAGTGGCGGGGGAGGGCCTCTCTCAAGGGATGACATTTGAGCTGAGCCCTAACGGAGGATATAGATCTCTCCCTGCCAGGAGCCAGGGAGATACGACCCATCCAAGGGAACAGCAAGTGCAAAGGTCCTGAGGCAGGAATGAGGTTGACCTAGCACAGCATTGGAAAGAGATGAGTGGTGAGAGAGTGGGTGGGCACAGAAGGAAGAAGGGGAGGCAGGCAGAAGCCAGGCCAAAGGAGGACCTTGTGGGCTGAGGCCAGGAGTTTGAATTTAATTCTAGTGCAATGTGGAGCCATTGAAGTATATTGACAATGATGCATGGGTGATAAGCTGGGGCCTCTGCCTGGGTCTGGCAGAACTCACAGTCCAGAGACAGACAAATGCATAATGACAGCATACTGGGACAGATGCTCTAAGAAAGATTCGTGCAGAGAGCTAATGGCCAGATACTGCCCAAGAGAGGTCTTGGACAGCACCAGCTCTTCAACCAGGGAACAGCCCTGCCCTAGAGGCCATCCCAACCCCTATTTATTCAGACTGTTTGTGAAAATGCTTTCATTTCTCCCCACTCCATGTTTCCATTCCCTTCTCAATATGACATTGCTCTTCCGATCAAAAACGGAGACCACTGGCCCTTTCTGGGCTGCTTTGTGACTTGCTTTGGCCAACAGAATGTGGAGGGAGTGAAGTTCAACCAGATCCAAGCTGAGGCCTCAAGACGCCTCATAGCTTCTTCTCTCCCTCTCAGAGTCCTGCCATCAGCATATGAAGAAACCCAGACCAGCCTACTGGAGGATGAGAGACAAAATAGACCAACCATAGACCAGTCCCATGGCCCCAGCAAGGTCCCAGATGTGAAAGAACAAAGCCACGTCAGCAAAGCTGGACCACAGCTGTCCAGAGATGTATGAGGAAGCCCAGCCATGGCCTGAAGAAAACACTCAGTTGACCCATAAAATAGTGAGCAATAATAATTGGTTGTAGTTTAAAAACCTTAAATTCAGGGGAAATTTGTTACACATCATAAGCTAACTGATAAACTTTTGAAGCTTTAACCTCTCCCCAACAACCAGGGCTGCCTATTCTCAAACCCTCAGAAGTGTGGAGAGAAGACCCAAAAAACATGTCCCCAAGAATCATATCCTACAGGGGTGGAAAAGGAGGGATTACAAACTCCCAAGCTCACACTATAGCCTGTTTCTCCCATAAAATGTGGTTAAGAATAAAAAAAATTCAACATTCCCTTTTATATGCTTAATGATTCTATAAGAGCAACATCATTTATTGTTATTTTTCTTTCTTTGAATCATCCTTTCACTCATCTAATATTTGTCAAGCACCTACTGTGTGCAAGGCACCGTGAAGACTGTACTAGACAAAGTCCCCAACCCCATGAAGCTGATGGTAAGGTGGAAGGATGGAGACACGAACAATAAATAAGTCTTTAATGACCAGGCGCAGTGGCTCACACCTGTAAATCCAGCACTTTGGGAGGTCAAGGTGGGCGGATCACTGAAGTCGGGAGTTTGAGACGGTCTGGCCAACATGGTGAAACCCCGTCTCTACTAAAAATACAAAAATTAGCTGGGCATGGTGGCGTACTCCTGTAGTCCCAGCTACTTGGGAGGCTGGGGCATGAGAATCGCTTGAACCCAGGAGGTGGAGGTTGCAGTGAGCCAAGATCACACCATTGCACTCCAGCCAGGCTGACACAGTGAGACTCTGTCTCAAAAAAAAAAAAAAAAAAAAAAAAAAAGTTGTATTAACTCCATACAACTGGTGGAGAAGGACAAGATGCTTTGATTGATAATGTTAAAGGAGGCTTATTGAAAGAGAGGGGTCAGAAAGGACTCTCTGAGAAGCTGACATTGCAGCTGAAATATGAGACAAAATCAGCTTTTTCAAGGGCTATAGGAAGAGTATTGCGAGGCAACAGAAGACAAGAGCAAAGACCTTGAGGCAGGAAAGAGCTTGATATGCTCAGAGGACTCAAGAGGCCAATGTGCCTGCAACAGCAAGTTTAGACCCCTTCTCTTGAGCTCATTCCTTATGGTCATTTGCAGCAATGGCCACAAAATCTTTGCTTCCTTCCCACCAAGAGGTGGAGTCCATTTCCCCCCCACTCTCCCTTGAATCTAGACTCAGCCATGTGGCTTGCTTTAGCCAATAAGAGATTAGTAAATATGAAGTGAGCAGAGGTTTAAACGGCGGTTGTGCATTAGGGCTTTCCCTGTCTTGCTGCTTTTTGGAACCCTGAGACCATCATGCAAAGAAGTCCAGACAAACCTGCTGGAGGATGAGAGACCACATGGATCAGTGATGAGTGAGGCAGGCCCTAGCTGAGGTCCCCTGGATCAAATAGCCTACCACCTGCCAGATGTGTGAGTGAAGCCATCCTAGACTATGCAGCCCCAGTTAAGCCAGCCCAGACCAAGAAAGCCGTTCTAGCCATCCCAGCCAACCCACAGAATCAAGAGCAAAATAAAATTGGTGTTGGTTTAGGCCACCACATTTTGTGCCTACTTGTTACACAGCAAAAGCTAACTGATACACTTGCCTCATCAGTGACTTGAAGTTAGTTTATTTTTTGAAGTGATTTTTCAAGAAAAAAGTTTGGATCCATTAACCAGATTTACTGAGCAGAAAATAGAGGTAATGAAATATGATTTCTGGGTGGTTGCTAGGCTCATTCCATAGCTGAATGATGCTCACTTATGCATGTGAGATTTAAATTCCTGCCTTGACAAAATAAATTACTACTGTGTTGTGCAAAGACTCCAGGTTATTCAGATGAAGCTACTAATGTTAAATTCACTAATTCTAGAAATCCACTATCCACCATGTTAAGCACCTTACTATGTGTAAGGTGTTGTAGAGATTAGAGAAAGCATGCGACACCGAATCCTTGTCTTCGAGAAGGTTAGAATACAACAGGGAAGCCTTGACTAATTCATGGAGTGTGTGTTGGACAGGGGATAGAAAAACATCTCAAACTAGTGGGTCAAGGAAGGAATTTTAGAGTATGCTTAGATGATAGTATTTAAAATATAATAAATGTCAACATCTTCAGGTGGGACACACTATCCCAGATATAATCGGCTTGTCCTCCTTTTCATTCTCCACTTTTTTCTACCCAGTCCTTGTCATGGGAGATGGAGTAACATGGATTCACCAATGGGCTCCCTTCTCTCTGATTCATGGTTGGATTCAGCCAATGGGAGGCACCAGTAGGAAACTGGAGGGTGGGAAGAATGTGAGGGTAGGGTGTTTAGTTACTCAGTCTCCTGGCTCCCTCCCTTCCCACTCGCTTCTCATCCCTTTGGCCTAAGAGTGGTAATGGCTCCTCTGCTACTCCCCCACCACTCCCAAGAGAGGAGGATCTATTTCTTTAGATTGCCTCCAAGGCCCCCACACCTTTGTAATGTATCCCTTTGTATATAAACCTTTTTGGATTATCCTAATTTGAGGATGTCATCTGTTTCCTCCCGGGACTCTGTTGGGAGATATGTGCACTCTCCAGTTTGCCCCCATCCCCACCATTCCCTATTGCCCTAAGGTGAACCTGACCAGCCACCTTCATGTATGTTACCTGCCTGGTTCATATCAGTTTGAACCTTGTGTTCATTTCAGTTTGGGATACCACCCCACAACTACAAGTTAAGTACTAAATCCTGAGGTCAAAGCGAACCCCTCCCTAGGCAGAAGGAATCAGAGGAGATCTCCTGAACAAGGAGAGGTTGAGGAATGGATAGGGTTTTCAAAAGGGAGAAGGAGCATGGCAGGTGATCCAAATGAAGGCATAGACATGCCCTCTCAAGAGGCAATGCCTTCATGAGAGCCCAAGCCAGCTTGGCCCAAGACAAGTGGGGATTGAGGATGTCGCTCCCCCATTTCTCTCTCCCTTGAAGCTAGACTTGGCCACGTGGCTTGCTTTGGCCAATGAGACATTAGTAAATATGATGTGAGTGGAGTCTTACAACGTGCTTGTGCATTAGAGCTTTCCCTAACTTGCTGCTTTTTGGAATCCTGAGACCATCATGCAAAGAACCCCACAAGCCTGGTGGAGGATGAGAGACCTCATGGAGCAGTGACATTGAGCAGCCCTAGTTGAGGTCCCTCCATTTGTCAGGCCCCTCTCTGGGGTCTGGGGACAGCTCAGGGCCCAGCCCTGCAGGCGCATCTGCTAGGAGCTCCCCTCCCACCTCTGCTTTGATTTAGACTTTGCCCAGGGCTACAGAGCGGGGGGAGGCTGTTGGAATTGAGAAAACAAATAAACAAACAGGCTGGGGCAGTCCAAGTCGCCTCTCCTTGCCTCCCTGCCTCCAGTTTCTGCCGCCTTTCCACCTTCCTTAAAACTGCATTTTCTTCCCACACTCCTCTTTCCCCAGCGTCCCTCCTCAGCCTTCTCTGCTTCTCTCTCCCATCCCCTCCTCCCTCTGCCTCCCTCTCCTAGTTCTCTTGCTGGCCACTTCCTTCTAGCTCACAGCGTCCTCTCCTCCCTTCTCATTTCTTTCCTCATCTCCCTTACTCAGCAATCTCTCCCCCTGGGGCCTTTCTTCCTTCTTTTCCCCTTTTCTCCTTCCCCTCCATTCTTCTCCTCCTCCTCCGCTCCCTCCTCCCTTCCCACTCCCATCCCTGCCTCTCAGCCCCCACCCCATCCATCTTCCCCTCTTCCTCCCCCCACACCCCGACCTCCCTTGCTTCGTGACAGGGAGCGGTTGGAGAAAGATGGATGGAAATGACACCCCGGCTCTGGCGTGACTGCCACTCCGTGATGCATTGGGAGCCGTCGCTGGCTTTCTGTGGGAGCCATACAGATGAGGCGGTGACCCCTCGCCACACAGGGTCAAGGACACTAGAAGGGCAGAGAGGGCTGGGGCCTGGGGAGGGAGGCCTGGGTCAGCACATGGGCTAGGCTCTCTCGTTTCTGGGGCCCAGCAGTGGGCAAAGGGCCTGCTCAGTTCCCACTGAGGGCTATATCCCAGGAAGGAAGACAACAGCAGAGAAGGGAAGCCGGAAGTGTGTGCACGGGGCCCAGCCACAGGCTTGATGTACAACAGTAGACAAGTCATCAAAACCCTCCGTGCCTCAGTTTCCTCATTTGTAAAAATGGGAATAGTAAGATTCTCAGATTCGATGAGTAGTCCACGTACAGAACTTAGCACAGCACACGTGGCAGAGGGTAAGCATTCAATGAGGATGAGTTTGTGCTATGATGAATGAGATGCCTATGACTGTTATTGAATATGGTCATATGCAAAATGATAGCATGTGGCTCATGAAGCTGCCATATGGGTTAAGCAAGAAATGCACAAGACAGAGTGATCATAAGAAGCACCAATGCATCCAGGCTCTTGTACATGCAGGCTGTGCTCTAGGTGCCCTCTGAGCACTAAACCATCCAATCCCTCCGTGACCTTGTGAAGTGGAGACTTATTCCCATTATACAGAGAAGGAAACCGAGGCCCAGGGTGGCTAGTATTATCATTAGGAGCTAAGGGATATTATAAGGAATGAAGTGTGACGATTCTGTCCCCCAGACACCCACTTGCACCAACTCACATGCAAAAGCTGTGCCCCAAGATGGGGTCACATGAGTCACATGTGGACTATGTCTGCTCTGGTGTCCTGGGCACCTCTGTCTCATGACATAGCCAAGCGCCACAGTACCCAACAAAGGGCTCAGTGTAAAGAATTTGAGCTATTGCCTGCCTGATGCTTCCACAGAGGGACCTGGGTAGTTGCAACTTGCGGGGGTGGGGGGGCAGATCCAGGGCACCTCCCAACATCTGAGCCCCAAACTCCTGTTTTCCTGGAATAAGTGGTTGGTGGCCGCTCCTTGTATGTCCAACAAGAAAATAAGCCTGCACAAGACATCTGCATATAGATAAGGCCTGCTCCGAAATCTCAGAAAGCAATTATGGCATGGGATTAAAAGAGAATTTTTTCTCTTGCTTTTTGTCTGCTGTTCCAGTTAACAGGCTGCTTGTGAAATTAGGGGCAGTTTGGAGTAGAGAGTAAACCTTGGACTTTGACAGTCTGGCAGCCTGCCTGTACCATCTCAGTCACTCAAACGCTAAGCCTCAGTTTCCTCATCTACAAGATGGGGATAATAATAACCCCTACCCTGTAGACAGATTTGTATCCACTCCTTCATTCATTCAACAGACACTTATTGAGCATCTACTATGGACCAGGTACTACTGTTCTAGGTTCTGAGAGGAAAGCAACAAACAAAATTTCAAAAATCCCTGCCCTTCTGCAGCTTACAAGCTAGTAGAAGAAGATAGACAATACATGTGGGAACTTTTGTTGGTGCCACTGCTAAAGACAGAGCCAGAGCACGCGTGCACACACACACACACACACACACACACACACACCCTGCCATGTCACATGGTCCTTTCCTTTCTCTGACCCAGACTGTCCCTAAACCAGCCCAGAGAGTCTACTAAGTTCCCAAAAATTCCTAGGGAGGAGGAAGCCCACACCCCAAAATGACCTCCTCACTCACCCTTCACTCTCCCCATGTCTTCACTCTTCCTTATTAGGCACCTATTATGTGCCAGGCACAGCTCGCCATCCAAAAGCTACACGTTGAGTAAAATGATCTCTGGCCTTCAAGAGCTTGCAAGCTACTTTCAGTCTCCTGCCTCATTGAATGCATTTCCTTCCTCCTTTCTGCCTCACCATCCCTCAATAACTGCTCAAAACTGTTCTTTTCCCAAAATTCCTCTGAGATCACCTCCTCTAAATGCCTGTACCTTTCAGACTCAAACAGGAGAATGTTCACCTCTTGGGGTCTCCCCTGGTGCACTCTTATTTGCTATATAGATCAGTGTTCTCTCTCCATCCAGACTTAAGCTACTGAGCAGTTAGAGCCAATTATTTCATTAGCCCCAATTCTTTATATTGCCTTATATGCATGTTGTTTGTCATTTGCAGTTTTTCCTTCTAAGAAGAAGTCCATTTCCTTGTCCCTTAAATCTGGGTTCAGCCACATGGCTGGTTGAATTTAATCAAATGCTGCAGAAACAACAGTGTCCCAGTTCTAAGTACAGGCCTTAAGAAGCCTTGCATGTTTCTACCTGTTCTCTTGTACTTCTGTCATCGCCATGAAAAGGACATGCCTTCTGGTCCAAGGAAGAAGATGAGAGAGATATGGACATGGCTGGCCCAACTAAGGTGCCCCAACCAAGCCCAACCTAGCATATAGCCTCTAGGCCAACCCTCAGAAGCTTGAGAAAGCCCAGCTGGGATGAGCTAAACCCACAGGGAAGTGCAATATAATAAGAGATTGTTGTGTTAAGCTTCTGCATATGGGGGCAGTTTGTTCCCCAGCATTAGCTGACTGATATAGTAGCCCTAGAAAGAGCATGGGCTTTGGAACCAGCAGCAGATCCAACTGAAGTCCAGCCACAGACTCACTGTGAGAACTTGGGCAATTACTTAACCTCCCTGGGCCTCATTGTCCTCCTCATCTGTAAAGTGGGGATGATGGTACCTACCTCACAAGGTTCCGTGAGGACCACATGGAGAGTAAAGCCCTCGGATCTAAGCAGACACCCATTGGATGGTGGTTATCATTATCATCATGAGAGTCATTGGGAAGGACTAAGATGGGATTTGCTCTTCTCTCTGGACAATGAGGGATTTTGCTTCTCTGTGCTCTGTACATATTGATAGATCAGTTCAGGAAAGCTGACCTCATGCTAAGATCTATGACACCATGGAAAAGGAATTGGATCAACTTAGAAATCTGTGTTCAAATCCCAGCTCTGCCACCTTACCAGTGTGTGACCCAGGCAAGAGATTTAACTTCTTTTTTTTTTGTTTTTTTGTTTTTTTGTTTTTTTTTTTGAGACGGAGTCTCGCGCTGTCACCCAGGCTGGAGTGCAGAGGCACGATCTCGGCTCACTGCAAGCTCTGCCTCCCTGGTTC
This sequence comes from Homo sapiens, assembly GCF_000001405.40. Taxonomy (NCBI): domain Eukaryota; kingdom Metazoa; phylum Chordata; class Mammalia; order Primates; family Hominidae; genus Homo; species Homo sapiens. Next base: position 113,543,934 of record NC_000012.12, on the reverse strand, counting down.
ACGCCATTCTCCTGCCTCAGCCACCCAAGTAGCTGGGACTACAGGTGCCCACCACCATGCCTGGCTAATTTTTCATATTTTTAGTAGAGATGGGGTTTCACTGTGTTAGCCAGGATGGTCTCCATCTTCTGACCTCATGATCTGCCCGCCTTGGCCTCCCAAAGTGCTGGGATTACAAGCATGAGCCACCACACCCAACTGGGACTTAACTTCTAAGAGCCTCAACTTCTCCATCTGCAAAATGGGAGTGATCAGACCCACTGGATCCCATGGTGCCCTCTTGATGACCCTGTAACCAACATAGACTGTGGGGCACAGTGTCTGCCACAGGGTGCCTATTCATAGAAAGTCAGTTCTTCCCCTCTCTCCACAGGAGCAGACAGTCTTTAGGGCTACCGCCTTTTAGATAACCCCACCCCACATCCCCCGATTTCAGAGAGCTGGTTTCTCTTCTCCCTGGGCACTGGAATCAGACATCCTGCTTTTATATATATATATATATATATATATATATATATATATATATATATATATATATATATATATATATATATTTATTTATTTATTTACTTTTATTTTTTTTAATTTTTTTTGAGACTCAGTCTTGCTCTGTCACCCACCAGGCTGGAGTGCAGTGGGGCGATGTCGGCTCACTGCAACTTCTGCCTCCCAGGTTCAAGTGATTCTCCTGCCTCAGCCTCCCGAGTAGCTGGGACTACAGGCACCCACTACCATGCCCGGCTAAGTTTTTGTATTTTCAGTAGAGACGGGGTTTCACTATGTTGGTCAGGCTGGTCTCAAACTCCCGACCTCAGGTGATCCGCCTGCCTCAGCCTTCCAAAGTGCTGGGATTATAGGCGTGAGCCACCGCACCCGGCCATCCTGCTTTTAATCCACGGCTCCTCCTTGAGCATTCCTGTGCATCCTCAAGCAAACCATTTTAACACTTCTAAACCTCAGTTTTGCTCCCTGTAAAATAAGGAGTATAAAATAAATCCTGTAAGATTTTTGTAACGGTTTAATTTAATTTGCCTAAAACAAAAGCATGTTCAATAAGGAATTGTGGGAGGCAAGTGAGACAGAAGGAAAGAAGAAAGGAAGGAAGGGAGGGAGGGAGGGGGAGAGGGAGGGAGGGAGGGAAAGATTCTAATTCAGAGGTCTTAAATGCACACAGCAGAAGTTATGATGGTTTCTCAGAATTCCGTGCAACATTAAGGCACTTAATCCCACTGTGCAAACTAGGAGTGGTTTTTCTAACAGGAAACAGGAGGATATTATACTCCTGTAATATAAAACTTCAGCCACAGGCACACAGGTAATCAAGCCACAACCTCCCAAACAAACTACTGAACTAAGCATGATAGAGGGCAACCGGGTTCCCTGTCAATAGCTGCTGCCACTCAGTCATTTGTTTTGTGGTTGTGAGAGCTGTCTGGCTGGCAAGCAGGGGCCGGGGTCAAGGTTTGCAAAAGAGAGACTTGGAGGAGAAAAGCTTAAAGATGAACAAATGCTGCCCAGTGCCTGAAATTGTCCCTGCATGGGTTGAAGACAGACACTGTTCCACTGAAGCAGCGGATCACCTTTGTGTCAGAGTGCGGGACATGTGAGGAGAGTCATTCCCTAGAACAGGGGCTCTTGAACTTAGGCCTGCATCAGAAGCCCCTGGAGGGCTTATGAAAACACACAGTGCTGGGTTCCTCCCTCAGAGCTTCTGATTCCGCAGGTTTTGGGGTCTGACATGAGAATTCTCATTTCTTCCAAGTCCCCAGGTGATGCTGCTGAGCTAGGAACCACGCTTTGAGAACGACTGGTCTAACGCAATTGAATGAACTTGGCCGATGACAAGTAGCTGCTTCCAGGTGCATCTTTCTGTGTTAGGAGCTCTGGGAGGTATAAAGGAATGAGTGGAACAAAGGTCAAAGGAGGCATCTGTCTTCAAGGAATTGACTGTAAGCTTTGCTCTTAGAAATAACAGAGTAGCAGTTAAGAGAAGAGAAAAACTTGGGTTCAAATCTCAGGCGCACCCCTAAGCTGTGTGACTTTGAGTAAGTTACGTGACCTCTGTTTTTCCATCTGTCAAACAGACGTAACAAGAGTAGTTACTTTATAAGTTTGCTGTTGAGGAAACTATCTATGTGTCCATCAAATGGTGGCCTGGCCACTTCTTTGAGAGTGGTTATATTTGCAGCCAGCACTCCTGGTTCTAGGCAAGCTCAAAGGACAAAGAGTTCCCTTTGGGTGACTTGGGAAGTTCTTTCACAGGGGATAAGGCTATACGCTAAGCCTTAAATTATGGCTGAGACTTGGACAGGGCTTAGGAAGTGGGGAATTCATCCTTGGCAGGGGAAATGGTATAAGCAACAGCTCAAAGGCCCATGGGGCATGCAAGACCAGGGAGAAGAGCAGCCTGTCCACAAGGAATCTTCAGCCCCTCACGGAGCACAGAGAAGCAAACAACCTAACAGTCACCATCATTTACAGAGGGCATATGCTGTGCTAGATATTTCTCCTGCACAATCTCATTTAAGCCTTTCAACAACCCTGCCAAGGAGGGGAGTTATTTTTCCCCTTCTAACCAATGAAGAAACTTGGGTTCAGAGAGGTTAAGCAACTATCTCAAGATCACATAGCCAGTGATAGAGTTGAAATTTGAACCCAAATCTCTGTGGCCCCAAATCAGATCCTTAAAACCCCAACTGATTATCATTTGACCAACTTTCGGCAGTCCCGTGCCAGGAATCGGGGTTTAAGGGCACTCTACTGTTGAGGATGAAGAACTTCTTGAAATGCATGAATTGGATCTTTCGACACCAAAGAATTTTCCCCAGGGACTTGGCCCCCTATGTGGCACAATTTTAGGACTCTCAGTCACTCCTCCTGCAATCTTTCCCTCATCCATCCACTGCTGAATTCTGAAATATCTTTATAGCCTCTACAATGGCCCCTAATGATCTCTGCCTCCTAGTGTTCATGCCCTCATGTAGTCCCCCTTCCACACTATCCGCACCTGTATAAACAGGAGGATATTGTGGAAATGACAGATTGTGACTTTCCAGGTTAGGTCATAAAAGACATTATGGCTTCCTCCTTGCTCTCTCTTTCTTTGTTGATTGACTCACTCAGAAAAGCCAGCCGCCATGTTGTAGGATACTCAAGCAGCCCTATGGGGAGGTCCACATGGAAAGGAGCCAACTTGCCAGCCATGTGAGTGAGACACCTTGAAGGCAGATAGACCCTCTGGCCCCAGTCAAGCCTTCAGATGGCTGCAGCCCCAGGTGACAACTTAAGCCAACTCATGAGAGACCCTGAGCTGGAACCACCCAGCTGGGCTACTTCCAAATTTCTGGCTCACAGAAGATAATCAGTGTTTGTCGTTGTGTTAAGCTGTCAATTTGTTATGCATCTGTAATTAACCAATATACCAAGGGCAGTCTTTAGCTCCTTTTTATTTTTCTGTAAGTGACCAAATTGCCCCCAGAAGGACCACAAGCTCCTCAAGGACAAGGGAGAGGCATCCGTCTCCCAATCCTCAGCATCCCATGCAGAATAGCTACTGGTGTCACTATTCTACATTTGCTGAAAATGACCAGAGGTGGGAGGGACTTGAAGCAGAGCTTTCAGAAAAGAACAGAGCTCAAAACCTGACGCTTGTGGTCACCACAGTCTAATGGGAGCCTTGGAACCCTGGTTCTGGGATTCCCTGTGTCTTCCTTTGACATCCTGGATGGTATCCTCACAGGACCTGGACACAGAAAGTCCCGTCAACCCAGCCCAGCTGCCAGAGCTCTCTACTCCTTCCTCATCCCTTTCCTGATCCCAGGGTTATCAGAAGAAGAAAGAGAGAAATGAGAGGTTCTTACTAGAGGAATTCTGAGCCTGGAGCAAAAAGTAGGAGAAAGCACACAGACCCTGGCACCGGAAGACCCAGATTCTCCTCCTAGCCCTGCCACTTGTTGGCTTTGGGGCTGTATATTTGTTTTCCATTGCTGCATAACAAATCACCCCAAAACTTAGCAGCTTACAATATCAACAATTTATTCTCTCTCAGTTTCTGTGGGTATTTGAGAGTAACAAAGTTAGGCTCGGGGCCAGGCACAGTGGCTCACGCTTGTAATCCCAGCACTTTGAGAGGCCAAGGTGGGTGGATCACGAGGTCAGGTGATCAAGACCATCCTGGCCAACATGGTGAAACCCCATCTCTACTAAAAATACAAAAATTAGCCGGGCATGGTGGTGTGCACCTGTATGTAGTCTCAGCTACTTGGGAGGCTAAGGCAGGAGAATCGCTTGAACCCGGAAGGCAGAGGTTGCAGTGAGCTGAGATCGCACCACTGCACTCCAGCCTGAGTGACAGAGTGAGACTTCATCTCAAAAAAAAAAAAAAGTGAGGCTCAGGGTCTTTCAAGATGTTGCAGTCAGATGTCAGCTGACGCTGAAGTCAGCTGAAGATTCCACTGGGACTGGGGATCCACTTCCAAGATGGCACACTTTCCTGGCTGGCAAATTGGTGCTGGCTATTGGCTGGGAGAGGGCCTCCCCACAGGCTGCTTGAGTGTCCTCACAACATGGCGGCCAGCTTCCCCCAGGGAGACCAACCCAAGGCAGAAGCAGCAGTGCCTTTTTTGACCTAACTAGCAATCACACCTCTTCTCTGGACCTCAGTTCCCTCATTTTTCAAATAATCCTCACTCACACTGCCCCATAGGGAACCAATGTCTTTTGTAAGAGATGGGGGTTTCACTATGTTGTCCAGGCTGGACTTGAACTCCTGACTCAAGCGATCCTCCCACCTCAGCCTCCCAAGTAGCTGGGACTACAGATGTGCACCACCACATCTGGCTTTAAAATTGATTTTCCCCTCTTCCCCAGCCACCTAGTCTTCTTTTTCCTCCTCAAATATGCTATGCTAGTTTTCTAGGGCTGCCGTAACGAAGAACCAAAGCTAAGTGGCTTAAAAAACAAAAATGTCTTCTTCTACAGTTCCAGAGACTAGAAGCCTGAAATCAAGGTGTCAGCAGAGCTGCCCTCTCATTCAGGGTCCTAAAGGAGAAGCTGCTCCAGGTCTTTCTCTTAGCTTCTGGTGCACCCCACAATCCTGCATGTTCCTTAGCTTGTAGACATATCACTCCCATCTCTGCGTCTGTCGTCACATGGCTTCTCCCTGGGGTCCTCATGTCATCCTCCCTCTGTCTTCTTAGTATCTCTCTCTTTAGTCTCTCTCTTCTTCTTATAAGAACAGCAATCATATTGGATTAGGGCCCACCCTAGTGACCTAGTTTTAACTTGATTCCATTGCAAAATCTCTATTTCCAAATCAGGTGCCATTCACAGCTACCAGCAGTTAAGATTCCAACATGTTTTTGAGGGACACAGCTTAACCCATAACACACACCACGTTCATTTCCACTTCAGGGCCTTTTCGCCAGCTGCCTCTCCATCTGGAACACTACTCTCCCTACACCCCTTTGGTGTTTGTCTGTTTGTTTTGAGACAGAGTCTCTTTCGCCCAGGCTGGAGTGCAATGGCACAATCTCGGCTCACTGCAACCTTTGTCTCCTAGATTCAAGCGATTCTCCTGCCTCAGCCTCCCAAATAACTGGGATTACAGGCACGCACCACCACACCAGGCTAATTTTTGTATTTTTAGTAGAGACAGAGTTTCACCATGTTGGCCAGGCTGGTCTCGAACTCCTGACCTCAAGTGATCTGACTGCCTTGGCTTCCCAAAGTGCTGGAATTACAGGCATGAGCCACCAGGCCCGGCATCCCCCCAGCTCTTGGAATGACTGGCTCTTTTGCAATGCTGATTTCTCAGCCCCACTCAGGGAGGCTGAGTCCCTCCCCCGACCCACCAAAGTAGCCCCTCCATCACTCTCTTTTGTCCCCTGCTTGTCCTATGTTCTTCAGAGAAGCTAACATGGTTCAGATATATGTTCCTCCAAATGGCATGTTGAGCTGTGACCCCCAATGTTGGAGGTGGAGGTGTTGAGTCATGGGGGCGAGGTGTTGAGTCATGGGGGCGAGGTGTTGAGTCATGGGGGTGAGGTGTTGAGTCGTCATGGAGGCGAGATCCTTGTGAACGGCCTAGCACCATCCCCTTGGTGATGAGCAAGTTCTTGCTCAGTTCGTTCCTGTGAGATCTGGATGTTTAAAGGAAGCTGGGACCTCCCCCTCACTCTCTCTTTCTCTCTCTCTTACTCTCTCTCTCTCTGTCTCTCTCTCTCTCTCTCTCTCACTATGTAACATGCTGGCTCTCTCTTCACCTTCCACCATGATTGGAAGCTTCCTGAGGCCTCACCATGCTTCCTGTACAGCCTGCTGAACTATGAGCCAAAATAAACCTCTTTTCTTGTAAATTACTCAGCCTCAGGTGTTCCTTTATAGCAAAGCAAATGGACTCACACAGAAGCCATAACAACCTAAACATTAACGTGTTCATTAATTCCTTTAGCTCTTCACTGAGTGTCTCTCCCACAAGAATAGAAGCTCCTTGGGGATGTGACTGTATCTGTCTCACTCGCAGTGGCTGTATCCACAACATCTCACCCAGCCCACGGCACATAATACATGCTCAGTAAATATTTGTTGAGCAAATGAAAGAAAATCACAAACAAAGGCTGATATGCTGGAGCTGCCAGGTCTGTGCACATTTCCATCCGTCTGGGGCTTCATTCCCACGTGCTTCCCACTCAAGGCAGCTCCGCCAAGCCCAGCTGCCACTCAGAAGGGTTTCCGGCTGTCTTCTTTCCTAATCAGTCACCTCATCTCCCCTCCACACTGGTGTCACATTTTAGAAAAGCTACGAGTCCCCACAGCCGTGTTTACCGCCAATTTGAAATTATCTATCACTCAGCCTGCCTCCTTCGTCTGCCCATCAATCTTATCACCTGTGGAAGGAGCGAGGTCTGGGGGCCACTCTTCTGGCTCTCTTTTGTCTCCTGCAGGCATCAATTTTTCTCGCTCCCGGCTTGCACTCCTCCGGGATTGAGCTGCCTGGACCCTTCCTCTGTTTTGATGGATGTTTCTGGATGGAGTGACCCCCGGCCCCCGACTTTCCTTGCATCCCTGCAGCCTTGGCCCCATCAGCCACACCCACCCTAGCTGGACCCAACCTGAGAGCAGGGTACCCAGGCATCCCCCTGGAGCTTGGGGGTAGGGTCTGCCAGGCTCCAGGCTTAGGGGGGCCCAAAGTGGTGATCTCTCCCATCTGCTGCTTCCTGGGAGCAGCGTCACGGGATTTCCTGTCTGCAGGCAAAGCCCTTGCCCCCCACAAAAGAGGGGAAGCCATGTTTCCTGGGTGCCTACCCTGGTACTTTCAATGCATTACCTGATTTTCTCTTCCCTACATCCTTGGGAAGCAGAAACTGTTACAATTAACCCCCATTTTACAGCCGAGAAAACTGAGGCTCAGAGAAGTCAACTGACTTGCCTAAAGTAACCCAGGAAGAAGGTGGCAGAGTGGGGCTTTGAATAAATGTATAGCTGACTCCCAAATCCATGCTGTCACCACCATCTCAACAAGGAAATTCTTTTGGTTTTGGGTTTTGTTTTGTTTTTTTTCTGAACAGGGTCTCACTCTGTCATCCAGGCTGGAGTGCAGTGGCACAATCATAGCTCAGCTCACTGCAGCCTCAAACTTCCAGGCTCAAGTGATCCTCCTGCCTCAGCCTCCTGAGTCCTCATGGGAACACAGGCAGGCACCACCACACCTGGCTATTTAAAAAAAAAAATAGAGTTGGGGTCTTGCTTTGTTACCCAAGCTGGTCTCGAACTTCTTGCCTCAAGCAATCCTCCTGCCTCAGTCTCCCAAAGCGCTGGGATTATAGGTATGAGCCACCATGCCTGACCTCAATAAGGAAGTTCTTGATGTTAAAACCTCAATCCCTCTTGTTACTTTAATATGTCCATTTCCTTTTGTTCTGTGCAAGGAAATGACTTTTTTTTTAATCACCTAGACCAGCAACTCTCAACCAAGAGCAATTTTGTCCCTCTAAGGGACATTTGGTAATGTCTGGAGATATTTTTGGTTGTCACAACCAGGGACAGTTGCTGCTGGCAGCTACTGGGTAGAGGTCAGGGGTGCTGTTCCCATTGCAGATAATTATCCAGCCTGAAATGCCAGTGGGGCTGGGGCTGAGAAACCCTACTCCGGCCACACTGCCAGTTAGCTCTCTGCAACAGTAGAAATGTTCTTTATCTATGGAGTCCAACACAGTAGCCACAAGCTACATGTGCCTTTGAGCATTCAAAATGTGGCAAGTGCAACCAAAGGACCGAACTTTTCATTTTAATTCATTTAAAGTTAAATAGCCACATGTGACCCTATAGGACAGAGCCACTCTTGGCCATTTTGAGATAGGTCAACTATTTTTATTCTTAAAGATGGTTTTCAGGAACTGGATTGAGGAGTGAAGGAAAAAAAATAGAAAGCAGAACCTGAAAACAGAAAGCTTACAGCCCTGATCATTGTCTGCTTCTCACTTTTCACACCTGAAAAAGAGAAAAAGACTAACAGAAAGGTGGGAAAGAAAGGATTGACCAAGGCGATGACATTAACCTACAAGAACACAATGATGGTGAGATGTTCCACCTTGCGAAAGTGCTTAGCTATTCTGAGCCTCAGTTTGCCAATCTGTGAAATGGGCAACTGTACTTAACTCACCTCTGTTCTGTGGTTTATAGGTTGACTATGGTTGGTAGGGGCAACCTACAAACCACAGAACAGCGGTGAGTTATTGTAGCTAATAATGACAGTGCCTGGATTTTGTCGTCTCATCTCAATGTCACCACAACCCTCTGAGGCAGAGCGGGGACAGAGATTAGACAACTCAAATTGAAGCTGAGACTACGGAGACCCACAGACATGACTTGGTTTGTCCAAGGTCACACAGCCCGCAGTCAGGCCTCGCCATCTAGGATTTACGTCTCCAACCCGCAGCTCTGCACTCAGGCCTGGGGGAAGCCATGGGGAAGGTCAGACCCTGACGACCCTGATAGGGCAAGAAGGGGGCTCTGGGTGCACAGAGACAGGGCAGGGGACAGGAAGGGATCTACCATCCCACACCAGCCCCATAATAGCAGCTAACGCAGATAGAGTATGTCACATATATTAATCCTCACAGCAGCCCTGGGAGAGAGGTACTGTTATTGCCAAAGAAGTGGCCGTGGCACAGAGAGGTTTATTATTTGCCCATGGTCACACAGCGTGTCAGTGATGAGCTTGGAGACCGCCCTCAACCCCTCTGCTTCAGAAGCTCATGCACCATGAGATGTTGCAGGGAGAGTGTTAAGAGGTGATCAGAAAACACCTGTAATCCCAGCACTTTGGGAGACTGAGGTGGGCAGATCACTTGAAGTCAGGAGTTCGAGATCAGCCTGGCCAACATGGCGAAACCCCGTCTCTACAAAAAATACAAAAATTAGCTGGGTGTGGTGGTGGGTGTCTGTAATCCTAGTTATTTGGGAGGCTGAGGCACAAGAATTGCTTGGACCCGGGAGACGGTGGTTGCAGTGAGCTGAGATCATGCCACTGCACTCCAACCTGGGCAACAGAGTGAGACTCGGTCTCAAAAAAAATTTTTTTAATTAAAAAAAAGAGGTTATTAGAAAGGTCTGAGGCAGGTCAGACTTAGAAAGGATTTGCTGGGGTTTTGCTCTGAGTAGAAACAGCAATGTGAATGCTGAAACGGAGATTGGGTCAGAGATTCAGTAGAAAGATGGAAGTAAGGATTGACCCTGCGTGGGAGAATTTACAACCTCCCTAACATACTCCCACGTGGAAACCGAAGACATGAGACTCCTGGGAAACGAGGAAGACTGAAAGCAATGTCACAGCAAACTGGCTCTGAAAGGAGACAGTCATCTGGCCATTGTGAACCAGAGAAGGCTTCCTGGAGGAAGAGGCTCCAATGAGATCTTGGAAGCAGCAAGTTGTCCTCTTCAGCAGAGTAAGCCCAGACAAGAGAATCCACATTCAAATCTTGGTTCCAGCATAAACTGGCTGTGCAATGTTGAACAAGCTCCTAAGCCCCTCTCTTCGTCTCAATTTTCTCACCTATAATCTGGGGCTAACATTATGTCTACCCTACAATGCTATTATATGGAGTAAGTGGACAGGAAAGGCTTTACAAGTTGTAAAACAACCTGGAGGTGGGTTTAGGGAAGCAGCGTCAGGTGGAGAGACCTGGGTTGAAGTTCAGATTTTGCTGAGTACAAGCTGTGGAAACCAGCAGGTCCTTGAGCCTCTCTGAGCCACAGTCTGCTTATTTATAAATAGGGGATCATCCAAATGTCTACTTTGCGGTAATTAAATGAGACAATGCAACACAGGCAAATGCTTGCCATGGTGCGAAACGCTCGGTAAACGTGAGCCGTTCTCATTTTACTTAACAAGCACTTACATGGCACCTACTCTGCACCGAGTACTTTTCAAGGTGCTCTACTCATTCTAAGTACACAGCTCATTTAACCCCAGAACAGCCCTCTGAGATAGCATGGCCATCAGGATCAAACCTGGGAAACACACACCACTCTAAGTGTGAAAACAGAGGGAAGGGAGAGCAAGGAAGTGATCCCAAGCCAGCACTTCCACCCCTAGGCTGGAGGGACGGGGTGGGAGTGATATTCCCAGAGCCCAGTGGTGGGGCCCATGGAAGCTGGAACCACAGCCGGGAGATGGAGGAAGGGGTTCCAGGTGGAGAGGCGGCCCAGGTCAGGACAGAGAGAGAGAAAAACCCTGGCCTCTCCCTTCCTCCACCCAACAGATCTCCCATTGGCTGAGCACAGCTGATACAAGGGGAGCCAGGACCATGCAGCCTATGGGTCAGCCCCTGGTGACACTGAGCAGAGCAGGGAGTAGAGCTGAGGGCAGTAGCCCCACGACTGGCACAAGGGGCACTATTATCAATCCCATCACCCAAAAGGGGACATTGTGACACAGAAAAATTCAGCAGCCTGCTGAGGTCACACAGGCTCCTCTTAACCCAAATCATACGAGTCTATGCCCATAACCACTACACAGGGTGCCTCTCCTCCATGGCTGAAGTGTCGCTTTTACAGATGCCGAAGGTACGATGCAAAAAAGACTGGAGCCCATCTTCTGGATTGAGAGACTGGAGCCCATCTTCTGGATTGAGAGGTGCCAGACCAAGAGGGCTGGAGGCCCGGCTGGAGAGGGAAAGCAGGCATTGCCCCTGAAGGTTCGCAGAGAAGCTAGGATCTGACCTGGAAGAAAGGAGACAGCCACCTTCTCCAGAACCGCATTAGCAGCAATTTCCCGAGGTGAGCGGGGACGGGAGTTGCCCGCCTGAATGTTGGCCATTTGTAATCGCAAAGCAAGCATTTTTCCATCCCTTAATGGGGGACCCAACCAATCCGCGAAACACCCTATTTCTCTTTGTCTTTCCCCTGCCAAGTCAGCAGGCTGACTGATCTCCCCCGGGTGATTAATTTTCCCCTTGACACCCTGGGGAATGAGACATTGGTCCCAAGGGAAGAGAGACAAAGAGGCAGGGCTGGAGTATGTGGATGGCGGCGGGACCATCGCAGGCCTGGCCCACCTTCCCAGACCCACCAGCTGGGGAACAGGGGGTTACGGGGTTATGGGGTTCTGGGGAGGGCTTCCCCAGCCTAGGATTTAGTGAAAGGGAATGGCAAAGGCAGATGGGAAGGTGCAGGACAGCAAATCAGTAGATGCCACCATCCCACTGGGGGAGAGCATAGAATTTTTGGTGGTTGGAGCGCAGGCCACGTTTTAACAGCTCAGTGGGCTATTTTGCTTCCTGAATTGCTAAGATCCTGGATCGAACCAATTAGAAAATAACACTAGTGTGGTCATGGGGCAGGAGGTACGCAGAACGTATCTCAGTGTTTCACATCTTCCTCTTCTAGAACTATAGCCAAGTACCTGCCTGCACAGCCCCTAAAGCTACATTTCCTTAATCCCAGAACGGCCCCCTTCAAGTCCTGAGTTGGCCATTTGCTAGCTGCGAGATTTGGGGAGAATTGCCTAATGTCTCTGAGCCTCAGTTTCCTCATCTGGTAAATGGGGCTAATAATTTCGCTTACCACATATTAGGTTAGGATGTCCTCAGCTTTAGGTATTGAAAGCCATAGAAATGTGCCCAGCACACAGTGGGTGCTGTGTTAAGTGGGAGCAATCACCACATTCCTGAGGTTGGATAAAAAGAAAGGTCTCTCAAACTCGTGTTCTTTTCAAATGCCCCAAGCATGGTTCTTGCCAGATTCAAATGGCACATCTAATACAATTCATTTAATATGTTTATTTAAGTTGATTCTGGGCCAGGGCAGTGGCTCACACCTGTAATCCCAGCACTTTGGGAGGCTGAGGTGGGTGGGTTGCTTGAGGTCAGGAGTTCAAGACCAACATGGTGAAACCCCTTCTCTACTAAAAATTAAAAAAATAGCCAGGCATGGTGGTGTGTGCCTGCAGTCCCAGCTACTTGGGAGGCTGAGGCAGGAGAATCGCTTGAGCCCATGTGTATTAGTCCATTTTCACACTGCTGATACAGACATACCCAAGACTGGACAATTTGCAAAAGAAAGAGGTTTAATGGACTTACAGTTCCACGTGGCTGGTGAGGCCTCACAATTATGGCGGAAGGCAAGGAGAAGCAAGTCATGTCTTACATGGATGGCAGCAGGCAAAGAGAGAGATTGGGCAGGGAAACTTCCCCTTACAAAACCATCAAATCTCATGAGGCTTATTCACTATCACAAGAACATCATGGGAAAGACCTGCCCCCATGATTCCATCACCTCTCACCAGGTTCCTCCCACAACATCTGGGAATTCAAGATGAGATTTGGGTGGGGATGGAGTCAAACTGTATCTTCCACCCTGGCCCCTCCCAAATCTCATGTCCACACATTTCAAAACCAATCATCCCTTCCCAACAGTCCCCTAAAGTCTCAACTCATTTCAGTATTAACTCAAAAGTCCACAATCCATAGTCACATCTGAGACAAGGTAAGTCCCTTCTGCCTATGAGTCTGTAAAATCAAAAGCAAATTAGTTACTTTCTAGATACAATGGAGGTACAGGCATTGGGTAAATACAGCCATTCCAAATGGGAGACATTGGCCAAAACGAAGAGGCTACAAGCCCTGTGCAAGTCCAAAATCCAGTGGGGCAGTCAAATCTTAAAGCTCCAAAATGATCTCCTTTGACTCCATGTCTCACATCCAGGTCACGCTGACACAAGAGGTGGGTTCCCATGGTCTTGGGCAGCTCTGCTCTTGTGGCTTTGCAGGGTACAGCCTCCCTCCTGGCTGCTTTCACAAGCTGGCTTTGAGTGTCTACAGCTTTTCCAAGTGCATGGTGCAAGCTGTCAGTGGATCTACCATTCTGGAGTCTGGAGGACAGTGGCCCTCTTCTCACAGCTCCACCAGGTGGTGCCCCAGTGGGAACACTGTGTGGGGGCTCCAACCCCACATTTCCCTTCTGCACTGCCCTAGCAGAGGTTCTCCATGAGAGCCCCACCGCTGCAGCAAACCTCTGCCTGGACATTCAGGCATTTCCATACATCCTCTGAAATCTAGGCGGAGGTTCCCAAACCCCAATTCCTGACTTCTGTGCAATGGCAAGCTCAACACCACATGGAAGCTGCCAAGGCTTGGGGCTTGCACCCTCTGAAGCCACGGCCCGAGCTCTATGTTGGCCTCTTTCAGCCACAGCTGAAGTGGCTGGGATGCAGGGCACCAAGTCCATAGGCTGCACACAGCAGGGGGACCCTGGGCCCAGCCCATGAAATCACTCTTTCCTCCTAGGCCTCTGGGCCTGTGATGGGAGGGGCTGCCATGAAGACTTCTGACATGCCCTAGAGACATTTTTCCCCATTGTCTTGGGGTCTAACGTTGGGGTCTTCATTACTTATGCAAATTTCTGCAGGCAGCTTGAATTTCTCCTCAGAAAATGAGATTTTCTTTTCTTTTCTTTCTTTCTTTCTTTTTTTTTTTTTTTGAGAAAATGAGATTTTCTTTTCTATCACATTGTCAGGCTGCAAATTTTCCAAACTTTTATGCTGTTTCCCTTTTAAAACTGAATGTCTTTAACAGCACTCAAGTCATCTCTTGAATGCTTTGCTGCTTAGAAATTTCTTCTGCCTGATACCCTAAATCATCTTTCTCAAGTTCAAAGTCCTACAAATGTCTAGGGCAGGGGAAAATGCTGCCCTGTGCCTGAGGCTGCACAGCTACCAAGTGGCAGGGCTGGAATCCAGGTCTGAGTGTTGCTCTTGCACGTGTAAGTTTGATTATTGGAGTAGCGAGTTCACTGTAATCTTTCTGTTTCTGGTTAGCGTCTCCCAACTGGACTGTGGAGACAGGAAGCAGACATCAAATTTTCTGTAGGTCTGGCATCTAGGCCAGCACCTCTACTAAGTGAGCCAACAAAGCAAGTTGCTCTTGAATCTTAAGAAAGTTTCCATCCTCTTTAAGCCTTTGCTTCTTTCCAAATGCATATTTGAGAGCTCCCTCCATAAGCATGGGCATGAGCTGCCTCCCTCAAACCTCAAAACACTGTGCTCTTTCCCACTTTAAGATCTTTGCATCTGCTGTCCTCTCTACCCACAATGTTCTGTCTCCAGACCTCTGTTGCATAAATGATTCAAATACACTTGTGCAGGAAGTAACTTTACAAAATGCATTCACAACAACTGTGAAAGACAGGACTTCGTCTCCCATTTTACGAATGAGGTGCTCCAGTACACGGGCTGCCTCCAGTTCACAGGGGAACTGCAAGTGTCAGCTTCCCAGCCTTGGGGGAGTGGAAACAGGACAGAAACAAGTCTAGGTTTTGCACAAGCCTCTCTAATCCAAAGCAAACAAATAAAGCCAGCGAAGAGAAGTGGGAAGCAGGCACTCCCCCACACCAATGCCCAGCACCAGCTCAGGGGTTCTAATTGCCTTAGAAACCACCTGGTCTCCATTTAGCAGAAAACTGCCCCCTTAGCTTGGCACGGTGTCCGAGGGGACGGCAAAGGGACATCAGGTGCTTCTTGGCTGGGAGCACAGAGGAGCTGGGACTCGTGCCTTTGGCCAGTCCGGGCTCCCACGATGGAGTGGACCGAATGGGCCAGGCTCAAGGCTCCTTTCCTGCTGGAGAGAGAGGGGCTTGCACGCCGCAATGCTGGGGTTTTGTTGTCTTCCTCCTGCTGCTGGCAGAGGAGGCTGGCAGAGTTGGCTGTAAGCCCTGTCCCTGGAATTTGCCATCTCAATTAGGACCCAAGATAGGCAAAACACCTGACAGGGGGAAGAGAGAGGGAAACAGGGAGGGGGCAGGGGCTGAAGACCTACCGGCCACACCTCCAGGAAGCAGAGACACAAAAAGAGAGGAAAACAGAGGCAGCCTTAGGAACCCTTCAGACCTAAGGAAAGTTCAGGGAAGGAGCCTATCTGAGAAGGCACAGCCTTGGCACTGGACAAGCTCTCTGTCTTTTTGAGAACTAATAGGCATTGCCTTTCAGTGAATACCTATAGTACCAAGTAGGGTGCTAAATGATTTACATGCATTATTTACATCTTCCTGGCAACCTTGCAAAATAAGCATGCATTCATTCATTCGTTCCGGAAGGTATTCCTTTCTTTCTTTGTTTAGAGACAGAGTCTCACTCTATTGCCCAGGCTGGTGTGCAGTAGTGTGGTCCTAGCTCCTTGTAGCCTCAAACTCCTGGGCTCAAATGATCCTCCTACCTCAGCCTCCCCAGTAGCTAATACTACAGCACATGTCATCATGCCCAGATAATGTTTTTTCTTGTTTATTTTTGTGGAGACAGGGATCTTATTATATTACCCAGGCTGGTCTCAAACTCCTGGGCTCAAGCAATTTTCCTGTCAGCCTCCCAAAGTACTGGGATTACAGGTGTGAGCCACCTTATCCAGCCCTCCCTATAAGTATTTCTTGAGCACATGCATACCTGGGCACTGTTCCCTATTTTGAGGATTTGGTGGTGATCTTTCTAGACAGACACAATCCCTGACCCTCATGGAGTTTATAATTAGTCAGAAGAGCCAGGCAATATACAAGTAACTAAATAACTTAAGTATTTTGGAAGGTGGTTGAGGAGGATCTAAGCGGGGTAGGCAACATTGGAGCAGAGACCTGGACAAAGTTCAAGTGTGAGTCGTTCTCAGTAGAGGGAACAGCATGTGCAAAGGCCCTGAGGTAGGAGGGGGCTGATGGGTTTGAGGGGTAGCCAGAGGACCAGTGTGGCTGGCACACAGGGAGCAATGGGATGGCATGAGGGTAAGATCAGGAAGGCAGCAGAGAGTCGACAGGACCTGGCCTTGGAAGCCATAGGAACACAATGGGGTGTGAGGGGCTTGAGCTGGGAGTGATGAGCTCTGATTGATAATTTACAAAGATCCCTCTGGCAGTGCAGCAGGGAAGAACTGGGGCAGGGGAAGGCCAGGTGTCTAATAAGGAGGCTGATGCCTTAGTACAGGTGAGAGAAGATGGTAGCTTGGACCAGAGTCATGGCAGTAGGGATGAAGAGAAATATTTCATTTGGGATACAGTGTGGAGGTAGAGCCAATTAGAACAAATGCTGGCCGAGCACAGTAGCTCACACCTGTAATGCCAGCGTTGTGGGAGGCTGAGTCAGGAGGATGGCTTGAGGCCAGGAGTTTGAGACCAGTTTGGGCAACATAGTGAGACCTCGTCTCTACCAAGAAAAAAAAAAAAGTAATTCAGTGGGTGTGGTAGCGTGCTCCTGTAGTCCCAGCTACTCAGGAGGCTAAGTCAGGAGGATCAACTGAGCCCAGGAGTTTGAGGCCGCAGTAAGCTATGATTGTGCCACTGCACTCCAGCCTGAGAGACAGAGCCAGACCCTGTCTCTAAGAAAAAAAAAAAATAATAAAGAATCCTCTTCATTCACAAATGAGCAAACAGAGAAGAAGCATGACTTGCCCCAAGGTTTCCCAGTGAGTTGATGGAACTGGGACCAATACCCAGAATTCCCAGATGAAAACCTCCTCTGCGCCCCAAGTTGCTGTCTTACAACAGGGGTTCGTAAAGTTTTTCTGTGAAGGAACAGAGAGCAAATATTTTAGCCTCTGCAGGCCGTAAAGTCTCTACTGCAGTTGTTCAGCTCTGCCATTGAGCCTCAAAAAGTGGCCACACACAACATGAAAGCAAACGCCCGTGGCTACGTAATGCTAAAACTTTATTTACAAGAATAGACGTCTGGTCCAGGGGCCATAGTTTGCCAATTCTTGATCTAAAATGATCCAGGAAGACTTTCCAAAGAAGAGGAATCATTTAAAGAAGCAAAAATAACCTTATTAAATGATTTAGGTTAATGGGACAGAACTTCTGTGCCCTGAGAATATAAAAATGCCCACTGCAAAGAGAAAGAAAAAAGGTAACTCAGGCATTTGACATAAGCTAGGAAACTTCCTGCTCCAAGAAGAAGTCCTGGCTTAAACCCACGGTGGGGAGGGCTGAGAAGGAGTTCTAGCCTGGAGGTGCCTGGCCGATAAGAGGACCTAAGGAGGTGGGGGAGCTAAGACCATCCCAGTGCCATTAGCATCACAGATGTGCAGGCTGGCAACGCCTCTAGACCATTGGCACTCTGTGAGGGTCCCAGGAGAGAAAGCAGGACACAGATGCTATTCTGGAGCATAAAATGGGTTGGAAAAATGAAAGCAGAGCCCCGGGAGGGAAAGTAGCCCTTGGGGTCCCTGTCCTCTGTAGAAACAAAGGTTGGCAAAACTTGCAAAGCAGTAGTTGCTGTTTTTTTTATTGGTGTGAGTTTATGCATGTGTTTGTTTGTGTGGGAGAAGTGGATTTTTTTTCTTTACATTTGTTATTTGGTTTAACAAAGGCATTTTGGCAATATCTGGGTCTTTATGCGGCTTCATCACTTGGTGTGAGACTTTGCCACACTTGGGCTGTCTGAGCCTCAGTTTCCTTCCCTATGAATCAGGAAATAATCAAGGTAGGGGTGGCATCTCACTGGGTTGGCCCAGTGCCTCTCAACTCTGCGTGTGCATAAAACACCCCAATGCCCAGGATGCCCCCCACCCCAGAGATTCTGATATCATCAGAATCAGCCAGCCAGAACGAAGCTCTGCCACTGCTATTTTTAAAAGCTGCCCACCCAATTCTAGAGTGTCACCAGGATCAAGAACCACTCTGTGCTCTACATAGATATCAGGAAGTGGTTCTCAACTGGGGCCCTTTGGCCCACAGAGGACACTTAGCAATGTTGAGATATTTGGATTGTCACAGCTAGGAGGTGGGGGTGCTGTTGGCATTATCTAGTGGCCAGGGATGCTGCCAAACATCCTACTCTGCATAAGACAGCCCCACACAACAAAGAATCATCAATAGTATTGACACCTTGATGGGAGGGACTGCTGTGTGATGTGACGGGGCTAAGTTCAGGAAAGATCTAAACAGGAAGTTTTGCCACAAAGGTCCAGCAGGTCTCGAAGCAGGTACAGGTTCCTCCAGGGAGCCTCTCCAGGTTTCCGCCAGGTGTGCTGGGCTCCCACGGCTCCATCTGCATCAGTCAGGGGCCAGTGAGGACATCAGAAGCCTCTTCAGGTATTACCCACAGAGGAAACGAAGGCAGAAAATTGGTTACTTTGAAGAGGCAGAAAGCTCAACAGAGAACAGAGAGGAGACACCTGGAGACTGGCAAGAGTGGGAAGCTGCTTCCACCCACCCGACTCTAAGGAACAGAGGAAAGGGATGGTATCACCAGAACCTCAGAAAACACTAGAACCAAGGCCAGGTGTAGTGGCTCACGCCAGTAATCCCAGCACTTTGGGAGGCCAAAGTGGGCGGATCACTTGAGGTCAGGAGTTTGAGACTAGCCTGGCCAACACGGTGAAACCCTGTCTTTACTAAAAATACAAAAATTAGCTGGGTGTGGTGGCATGCACCTGTAGTCCCAGCTACTCAGGAGGCTGAGACAGGAGAATCACTTCACCCCTGGAGGAGGAGGTTGCAGTGAGCCAAGATCACGCCACACCACTCCAGCCTTGGAGACAGAGCAAGACTCTGTCTCAAAAAAAAAAAAAAAAAAAGAAAGAAGAAACTAGAGCCATAGCTGGCAGCTTTTCAGCAGGAGAGGGAGCTGCAGAGGAGATGCAATGGTGACTGGAGAAGCCACCCATGGTAGAGAGAGATGGGGAGAAATCTCCCGGCTTCTCTCACCCTCTGCCCTCAATCCTTTGACAGCGCCTCCTCTTGGCCAAACCCGGGTAACCCAGGAGCCTGGAAGCATGGGCTGCAGGCATCACCCTCCCCTCCATCTCCCATGGTATAGCCCTGGGCAGGGGAAGATAGGAAATGGATCCAAGGGCAAGGGAGCTTCAGACCAGCCCACTATGTCCCATGTCCTGCTCCCAGAACTCGTAGACTGGGCCTTCACTGGCCACCTGTCCGTGCACCATATCTGACTATCTCATTGACAGTAATACATACCCTGGTGCCTACCACGGGCTGGCACCGAGGAGGGGCTCTGGCTTAGTCTCACAATGCATAAGGGGGCATGTGTGTGTGGGACACACCACCGTGACCCCTTATGCCTCCATTCAGGAGGAGTTTCAAAGGAGGGACTCTTGGAAGCAACCTCGGGACTTTCCATGAGGTCCTCTGACTGCAGTGTCTTGGGCACCTGTTATCTACCCAACCCTGGGCTGCGGGCTTTAGGTGTTCAGAAGTCAAACAAAAGTTGGCAAACAAGCCAGGCCAACATGGTAAAACCCCATCTCTACTAAAAATACAAAAATTAGCCAGGCATGGTGGTGGGCGCCTATAGTCCCAGCTACTCAGGAGGCTGAGACAGGAGACTCGCTTGAACCCAGGAGGCGGAGTTTGCAGTGACCTGAGATTGTGCCACTGCACTCCAGCCTGGGCAATAGAGCGAGACCCCATCTAAATAAATGAATAAATATAAATAAAAAAGATGGCAAACGAAATAGATGAGGTATCTACCCTTGGGGAGCTGACATTTTAGTGGGAGACAAATGGAAAGCAAGTAAACAAATGCATTCAATAATTCCAGATAACTAAGTGGTAGGAGGGGAAAAATAGGATGCTGGATCAAAAACAATCAGGAAGATGGCACAGGGACTGTCTTCTGCAGAGGAGTGGACAAAAGCCTCTCTGAGGTGATGTTGAATCTGAGACCTGGACAAAGTAAAGGAAGGAGTCCTGCAGCTTTCTGGAGGAAGAACATGCCAGGCAGGGGGAGCAGCAAGGGCAAAGGCCCTGAGGTAGGAGTGCATCTGGTGTGTTTGGAGAACAACAGCGGCCAGAGATGGTAGAGGGTCTCATAGACTAGAGCCACACATTGAGTTCTAGTTTGAGAAAGATGGAAGAGCTTTAGGCAGGAGAGCAACATGATCTGATTCCTGTGTTTATAAGATTACCCCACCTCTTGTATGGAGATAGGAACCAAGCTGAATAAATGAATCATGCTATCATTGATTCACTTGGACTTTACAGCACTAGTGAATTCTTCCCCCACCCCCAAAATAAGGAACCATTTTAAGTTTGTGAATGCTTCATCTCACCAAGATTGAAAATGTTAAAAAAAAAAAATACTGGCTCTTATCATTATAATTTAAAAATAGAATAGACATTTTAACACCAAAAAAAAAAAAGCTAAACAAAACCAGTAGGAAGGACAAAATCTCAGAATAAGGGACAATGGTTTGTATTAGATACATTTAGCTTTGTATGAAGCTCCTGCCTTCCTACTAACTTTTTGGTGTTTTGTTTGCTTCCTTAATAAAGAGTCTTGCTCTGTTGCCCAGGCTGGAGTGCAGTGGTGCGATCTCAGCTCACTGTAACCTCCACCTCCCAGATTCAAGCTATTCTCATGCCTCAGCCTCCTGAGTAGCTGGGATTGCAGGCATGTGCCACCATGCCTGGCTAATTTTTGCGTTTTTAGTTGCCATCTCTTCGGGCCGTTTCACCTGCTCATCCCCAGCAACAGCCAGGTCAGAGGAGCCTGGGTGGGATGGAGCCCAGGCCCGATCCTCAAAGAGGAGCTGTGATGTGATGAAGCCCTTTTTTCGCCCATAGTCTTTTTGATAAATCTGCAACTCTCCCCGGGGAGGAGTCAGGCTCTGATTCCCCTCCCCCCCATTCCAAGAAACCCCTCTCCAAGCTGGAGGGTCACTAAGTCATAAAAGTCAGGAGTCCTCCCTGGAGACTCAGACAGTGTCCCTGAGCCTTAGTTTATATTACAAATAATAAAAATTACAGATGCTATTTATTGAGCACTCATATGTGTAGGCATTGTTCCAAGAGCTTTATTCATTTAATCATGACAATATGATAATTACAATGTATTACATGTAACATACATATACTATGCTTAAATAGTTTATCTAATACCCACAGTATTATATAATAATAGTAACACTATACAGCAAGTACCACGGTTTTATGATGAGAAACCTGCAGCACAGAGAGATTAAGTAACTTGTCTACAGTAGCACAGCACATAGATGGTAGGTCATGGATTGAAACCTGGGCAGTCAGATTCCCAGGCCAGTGATGTTCATTTTTCCACTTCCCTGCTTAGATTGTTCTCTTTCACTGTCCAAATATACAATGACATAACATTGAACATGCTTTTTCAAACTGCACATGCCCCCAAGATTCCTGTTCCAAATCCTTTTATTCGTTCAGTAGAAATCCATTGAACACCTACGGCATGGAAGCTTCTTTCCTGGGGAGCGGTCCCCACCTTGCACTCTGGGGATGAGGGGTAGCTGGGGCAAAGGCTTGGAGGGGTGAACCATGACAGGGACAAGCCGAGGGATGTAAAAGCAGGGGAGGTGCAGGGGAGCGGAGGGGAGCCGAGGTCCTGAGGGGCACCTGGGAAAGACTTTGAAGGCCAGGCCATATTTGAGCATCTCATTAAGAACATCCACACCCCAGCCTCTGAGCAGAAAAGGGCACATTGGTGACGCACATAAAAGCCCCTTTTAGATTCTGTTCTCAGGCTTTGGTTCAATGCCACTCATTTCTCTCAAGGTTTCCTCCTTCATTCAACAAAACCTCACTGAGCACCTCCCGCATGACGTTCTGGGCGATGAGGATGCAGCTATGAACTGAACAGAGAGGTCCCTGCCCTTTTGCAGGCAAATGTCGGGGAGACGTGTAAATCAAATATGCTTGTGATTACAAAGAGATGAGGAGGTGGAGGCTGAGCAGGCCTTGAGGCAATTCAGGGTGACCTGACCCGGCCTGGGGGTCAGGAAGTGGCCCTTGGGCTCAGGTCTGAAACAGGAGTAGCAATTGGCTGGGCCACAGCCTCTCAACCCTCCCAGGGCTTCAGAATCACCAGGGGTGCTCTTAAAAATACACACGCCCAGGTCCTACCCCCGAAGAATCAACTTCAATTGGTCTGCAGTGGGGCTTAAGGGCTGAGCTTTAAACACATGCCCAGGTGATTCTAATGTGCAGGCAAAGTTGGGAAACCCAGGGCTGGACGAAGAGAGGGAGAAGAGCTTCCAGGCAAGGGAACTGGCCTGAGTAAGGGGCTGGAAATGAAAGGGAGGAATGAAAAAATGTAGGGGCGGCTAGAGGAGGTGAAGTCAGGAGGACCAGCTGCCCATGCAGTGTGCCATGGCAGGGAAGAGACATTTTCAGGTTAGTATCTTTTATTTATTTTATTTTTATTTTTAGACACAGAGTCACTGCAGCCTCAAACTCCTGGGCTCAAGCAATCCTCCCACCTCGGCCTCCAGAGTAGCTGGGTTTAAAGGCCACCTTGTTTCATCCTCTTGGATGAGAACATGGAGACATTAGTTCCTCTGGCCCCTGGTTAGCTTCAGATTTCTCTTTCCCAAAGCAAAGAACTTTCTAGAATCACAGGGCTGGATGGACCTTCATTCCTTCAAATGTCTTTTTCTCCATCAGAAGGGTCAAGACCCAGCTTCAAATCCCAACTCTGCCCCCAACAATCCGTGCAACTCAGCCTCGTTCTGTGAGCCTCGGTTTTTCCATCCATCCAATGGGAATAATGTGTTTTGATTCCCAGAAGAAGCAAATGAAATCTTGCAAGGGGTGCTTGGAAACACACCATCACTGGGCACCTGTTCTGCACCAGGCACTGTGCTGGGCATTGGAAAAGAGCAAGGCACAAACTGCCACCACTATCCTCTAGCGGAGAAGACGAAGACCTTGACAAATACCCTGTGGCAAGACAGGG